>NW_012132921.1:0-169136 GCF_000001405.40 Homo sapiens
CAAACAAAGTTCACACCTATTACCTTTGCCAGCAGTGAGTTAAGTATTATTATTATCAAGCCCACTCTATTTGTGAGACACTTGATGCTGAGTTTATTTTTTACAGCTTTCTTGAGGTATAACAGATATACAAAAAACCTGCTCACATTTCGTATATACAATTAGATGCTGAGAGAGTTTAAATATCTTACATGTGTGTTAAGGTGCAGCTTAAGAAAGACCTGAAGCCCATTTCCATACATGATGATCAGATCCTGGGGTGATAGAAGTGGTCTTTGATTTGTTACACTGCCCTGTATGTTCCCAGGACGGGGCTAGAAGTGAAGTGATAAAAGATGGACATCACATCCCCAGACAACCAGAAGGGCTCACTTGTTTTTCCCTGCCTTCTCCAGAGCACGTAACACAGGGAGAATGACAGGTGCTTCTCTGTACAGTCATAGGAAAATAAAGTTCATAGGGGCAGAATGGCCTTGGACCCGCGTTGACTGCCCTAAAGAACCTGACTAAGAATATCCTCTCCTCAGACAGGCCATGTCCTTGGTGGAGAATCACAGTCCTAGGTGCTGAAGGCCATGGAAGCTGCTCCTCCAGAGGGAAGAGTGCTGTGGAGTGTCTAGCCTAGTATAGCCACCACCATGTGGCTAAGTCCTTTATCTTTTACTTTAAAGTGATTTGTGTTCTTTGCCTGGGTCTCTTCATATATCACTGTCAATCACTTTCTCCCTTTTGAAAAACATGCAGAGAATCACAAAATTAGTAAGTGGTAGATTGGTGCTTCAGAAATTCCAATTGCATATCCAATACCCTTCTACTCTCTGCTTAATATTTAAGGGATTTCTTTAATGCAAACATTATAAATCACACAATTGACCCCAGCCAAAGTTTAAAATTGGAAAATTGTTTTGGAGTTCTGTTTCTGGTTAGGATGTGAATGATGCAAAGGACCACTATTTCTGAATGTAGCAACAAGGGGAAAAAAACCTACTTTTCTATAATGCTATGAAAGAGCAGTGGATGCAAAGAAACCTTAACGAGCTAAATTCCAGAAAGGGATGAGCAAAGAGCCACAGATGCTTCCACACATATGGGCAAATGTCCAACCTGACTGTGGTTATGTGGGGAAGTAAACTTGTAATGGATGGAAGAGGAAGGGATGAGGAGAAACCAGCCAGGCTTTGACAGCAGTGTGAGTCAGCAAAAGAAAATGGAATCTGTAATTGCTCAAATGCAAACATAGTTTTTCAGATCAACACATCCCAATTCCTGGGCATTTTTTCCTGAGAAAGTAGTAGAAATAGTTATGGAGGCAGGGCTAGAAGGTAGAATAAATTTTGGCCATTTCATGGTGCTCAGATCTCAGGGCCCTGCCAAAGTTGAATCTATAAGTGAATTGTAACAAACTAAGCTACCAATCAAAGTCTTTCAGGTTCATATCCTGGGAAGATCATAGGGCTTTATTTGCCCCTCAGTTGTAGCAATAGTAGTGAAGAAAATTGGGGGTTGGGGTTAAGGTTTAGTACAAACTGAGATCTCCTAAATCACATTGGAAATCAGGCATAAGTTCCAAGTAACTGCAGCTGCAGTCCAGCCTTAATCCAATTCAAAGTAAGTAGAATGTAAAAGAACAGACTTCACATTGACTGTCTGATTGAAGAAAGTTCTTGTACACTGTGAGAAAAAAGAGAAGAAAGAAAGAAAAAGGTATTATTTCATTCTCAACTGTTCTTTAAAACACTATGACTGGGATATTTATAAGATATGTAAAGAGGTAGATATATTGACCTATAAAATAGAAGATAATTCAATAAAGACAGAACTACTAATGACTCACATAATGAAATTTGCTGACAAAGACTTGAAAACAACTGTTATAAATATGTTAAAGAATTTAAATAAAAAGATGGGTTGGATGAGTTAAGAGATGGTGGATTTTATGAGGGACGTGTAAATGTAAAACAAAATTGAAATAATCTAACTTAAAAAATTAATTTTTAAAAAATAATTGAGTGCTTCTAGAGGCTACATTTCTTTTCCACCCAGACCTCTTTATGTGGGCCTCTCCACAGTGCTGCTTGGGCTTCCTTACAATATGATGGCAGTGTTCCAGGAGCAAGTGTCCCAGGAGACAGGAAGTAGAAGCTGCTAGTTTCTATTGTCAAGCAGCCACAGAACCTAAGTATGAGGTTGGAGACATAAACCTCACTTCCCAATGGAAGAGTATCAAAGAATTAGGGGATCATTATTAAACCCACCTCAATAAAAGAATGGGTAAACAAACCTTGGTATACCAACACGGTGTATTTCTACTTAACAATAAAAAGGAGTGGAATACTAATACATACAACAACATGGAAGTATTTCAAAAACATTATGTTTAGTGAGAGAAGGTAGAATCATAGGAGTAAACACTGAATCACTCAATTTATATGAGGTTCAGGAATAGTCAACACTAATTTATGGTGATAGAAGTCAGAAGAACAGTTGCCTCTGGGGGTTCAATGGACTGAAATGGGGCATGTGGAAACTGTGGAGGGATGAAATTTTCTCTACCTTTATTTGCATGTTGGTTTCATAGGTTTATACAAGTGTCAAAACTCATTAAACTGTACACTTAAGATATTTAACTTTTTCTGTACATAAATTAGACTGAGATAGAACTGATCAAAAAAAATTATTGAAGCACAAGCACCTGTACTGGTTCTATACTGGATATTGATTTGGACAAACTAGCTATAAGAAACATAATTAGGACATTTGAGAACATTTCATTGTGTTTAGGTATGAGATAAAAATTTATTGATCTGTAAAGACCAAGATAGTCAACTGAAAAAGCATATTATAAATGTTTGCACAGTATGATCTTGTACTACTAAAAATATTGCTTGCATATATTATAGGAAAAACGTAGGTAAATATGCTCTAAGAGCTTTTTTGTGGTAATCTCTGTCATGAGAATGTAATTTTTTATTTTGTATTTTTGCTTGCATGTATTTTCTAAGCTTGTAAAATGCCCAAGTACTGTTTTTATAATCATAAAAGTTTATATGAATAACTTGCATTTCGTTTATGAAAACATAGTTGAAAAATCTTTTCTAAAACCCTGCTCCCCAAATATGCCATTTTTGTCAAGTGTGAATTCAATTAAAATGTATTATGTGCAGCATTTAAGAGAAGATTGAAAAAAGCATGGTAACAGGTAACCTTCCTTAGACACTTAACATGTGTTAATCACTGTGTTTTGTGCTTGCATTGAATTCTTGAAATAATCTTATGAGAAAGGTATCATTACCACTCCCACTTGCAACTGAGGAGCCTAACACAGAAAACTAGCAAAAGGCTGAGTCCCCACTTGTCATCACTCAGTTTGTTAATGCTACACGTACATCGTCTCCTTCATTTTCAAGGCACTATTATGAGATTGGAGATACTCAGAGAACCAAGGAGATAAAGAGTGGAATAATTTGCCCAAGGTCACACAGCCATCCAGTGGCATAGCCAGGATATGAAAACAAGTATGTCTGCTATTGACCAGCAAATGCTACACTGCATCCCTGGCTTTATCAGTGGAATGCAGTATCTTCAGCCCTAGCCGAGACTATAACTCTGTGCTTCCACTGCACAACTTATAAAATGCCCAGATAAGAAAACTGATATTTATAAAGTGTTATTTGAATGAAATGAGCCCATTCATTTCTTTATAATCTAGACCTAAAGCCTGATCACCAGAACATTGCAGGTTCGGAACATATTATCTTGGCCTGCTGCAAAATTGCTTTCCCTGAGTTCAGCGTTCTGTTCTCAGTGCTTACTGAGGGATAAGTCAAGAAAACATTTCATGAATCCCATAAATGTGTTTGCAATAGAGAAGTCATCAGAGAACATTTTGCCTTACCTCTCACTGTCCTATAGATAAGGTGAAGCTCCCGATGAGAACTATCTTTTAAAATTAGGTGCTGGGTAAAACTGCATTCCTTGAGAAATTCCCTTAGCATTTATTTTATTTTTTAGTTAAAAAACACTTAAATAGTGCTTACTTTGTGCCAGCCACTGTTCTAAATGCTTTACTAATACTGGTATGTTTAATTTAATACTTGTAACATGCCATGAAAAATTTACTTCTCGGCCGGGCGCGGTGGCTCACGCCTGTAATCCCAGCACTTTGAGAGGCGGAGGTGGGCAGATCACGAGGTCAGGAGATCGAGACCATCCTGGCTAACACGGTGAAACCCCGTATCTACTAAAAAAAAAAAAAAAAAAAAAAATTAGCCAGGCGTGGTGGCGGGCGCCTGTAGTCCCAGCTACTCGGGAGGCTGAGGCAGGAGAATGGCGTGAACCTGGGAGGCGGAGCTTGCTTGAGCCGAGATCGCACCACTCTGCACTCCAGCCTGGGCGACAGAACAGGACTCTGTCTCAAAAAAAAAAAAAAAAAAGAAAAGAAAAGAAAAGAAAAGAAAAAATTACTTCTCTCATTTCCATTTGACATATAAGAAAACTGAGGCATAGGGTGGTTACTTAGTTTGCTCAAGATCATATAGTTTTTCTTTCTTTACTTAAACTTTTCTCTTTGCAAAGAAATGTGTTTTCTTTAATACTGTGCTTTCTAGGAGGTTCAGAGGCAGAATTTTTACCAACTCTTAACAGTTCTGTGGGACACTTTCACCTGTAAACATGTACTTTGTTTTTCTTCGTAGTTCTGGTATTGCATTATATTTTGCATTGTTTTTGGTTCCTCAATGGATAGATACAGGCATAAAACCAAGAATGGAGCCAAAGATTGAGATATAGATGAAAGTACAATTATGTATGCAACTCCTGTATGTTAAGCCAATTACTTTGTAACAAGAAATCAAGAAAAAATGATGTCTGTATTTCATTAAACGTTTGATGTAAGTTCCAAATAAATCAAACTTTGAAACAAATATATAAATGGAATCAATCCAAATAAGAGATGATGTAGACAAGAGGGAGGATAATGGTAATAGTTTTTTAATCTTTGGAGCAAAGTCAATGGGTTCAGAAAAAAAAGATGAAAGTATGTATGTACAGGAGTTTGTCATTGTACTGCCCAGAGCTTATCTTCTTTAAGTGTTTTTTCTCTTGTAGAAGCTAGAAAAGTGATAAATTTAACAAGGCACAGGAAGGCGTTCAGGAGCCCAACTACATAAACCACTTGCTGGAACACAATAATACTAAGAAATACCAGTTCTTGTCTTTTGTTGTAGATAAGATGCTTCAGCAACACCAGCATTTTATTTGTAATCCTTCACAGCCAGTTCCGATTTAGTACTGAGGTGAGAGTCTAGGTTTGCAGCTGAACCAAAGCTACTTCACACAGTGAAGTATTTTCCCACTTTGTCTTTATAATATTCCTCTGTTAGAAAAGTGATAAGAACTGTTTTCACGAGCAATGGAGGGCTTCTGTGAAAATACACATCATTTTATTTGGACGTTATTTCTTTATCAAGAGGCTGGTTCACTGATTACTCTTCTAGAAGTCAGGCTAAAGATACTGTCAATATTGTCACATCAATTTAAGAGTCCAGCAGCCAGTGGAAACTTTCTCTGGTCTGAGGTATCACATATACAAGGCAACGTCTCCCCTGTGTGTGGGAAGGTGGTGAACTCTGTTTCTGGATATACCTGTATGTGTTAGTTTGCTAGGGCTCCCCTAACGAGGTACCACAGACTGGGTAGTTTCACCAACAGAAATGTATCTTCTCGTGGTTCTGAGGCAGCAAGTCCTCCGAGGCCTCTTTCCTTGGCTTGTGGATGGCTGTCTTTTCCCTGCCTGGCCACATGGCCTTTCCTCTGTGTCCCAATTTCCTTTTCATCAGTCAAACTGGATCAAAGCCCACCCTAATGACCTCATTTTAACTTAAATATCTCTTTGAAGACTCTGTCTCCAAGTAGAGAGACGTTCTGAGGTACTGGGAGTTAGAACTTCAACACAAGAATTTGGGAGGACACAGCCCACGACACGGTGACATTTAAAGTCTCTCGGCATCTAATTGTATATATTAAATATGAGCAGTTTTTTGTATTTCAGTTATACTTCAAGAAAGCTGTGAGGTCCCCATGCTTCACTCATCTCTCTGCCTTGTTCTGAGTGGATTCGGTATTTAGGGGCCAAGTTATCAATTACAGCAGCCCCATTTCTCAGAAGCCACATGAATGACTTAAAAAGCTGCTCATTTGGCCAGGCGCGGTGGCTCACGCCTGTAATCCCAGCACTTTGAGAGGCTGAGGCGGGTGGATCACCTGAGGTCAGGAGTTTGAGACCAGCCTGGCCAACATGGTGAAGCCCTACTCTCTGCTAGTATATCTCTACTAAAAATACAAAAAAATTAGCTGGCATGGTGGCAGGTTCCTGTAATCCCAGCAACTTGGGAGGCTAAGGCAGGAGAATCGCTTGTACCCAGGAGACGGAGGTTGCAGTGAGCCGAGATCGCACCATTGCACTCCAGTCTAGGCGACAAGAGTGAAACGTGAAACTCTCGTCTCAAAAAAAAAAAAAAAAAAAAAAAAAGCTGCTGATTTTCTGCTTACAGCCATTTACATAGACTTTGGGAGAGAAGGACTTTGATATGGTTTGGCTCTGTTCCTCCACCCAAATTTCATGTTGACTTGTAATTCCCAATGTTGGGGGAGGGACCTGGTGGGAGGTGATTGGATCATGGGGACAGACTTTCCCCACGGTGTTCTCATGATGGTAAGTTCCTGAGGCCTCCTCAGAAGCAGAAGCCTGTACAACCTGTAGAACCATGAACCAATTAAACTTCTTTTCTTTATAAATTACCCATTCTCAGGTAGTTCTTTATAGCAGTGTGAGAATGAACTAACACAGACTTCAACTAAAGAATAAATTGGAGGCTGGGCATGATGGCTCACACCTGTAAACCCAGAACTTTGGGAGGCTGAGATGGGAGGATCATGAGGTCAGGAGTTCGAGACCAGCCCGACCAACATTGTGAAACCCCCATCTCTACTAAAAATACAAAAATTAGCCAGGCATGGTGGCTCAACGCCTGTGATCCCAACTGCTCAGGAGGCTGAGGCAGGAGAATTGCTTGAACCTGGGAGGCGGAGGTTGCAGTGAGCTGAAATCGCGTCACTGCACTCCAGCCTGGGCAACGGGGCGAGACTCTGTTTCCAAAAAAAAAAAAAAAAAATTAGAATCTAGCTCTTGTGTGACATAAATATGAAATGAGAAAATACCCCAGAGTAGAATTATAATATTAGGAATAAAAGTGACATTAATTTCTGAGGCCTCTGCTAAGTATGAAGAAAGAGCTCAAAGGGAAACAACAGGAGCCACTGCTCCCTAAGAAAAAAAAATTCCCGATTCTCTTAATGGGGGACAGAAATGTCAAAAATTGTATAGCTTCATTTTTACATCCCAAAATATGCTCCTAATAGAAACATAGTGCTAGTGTATATATTTTTCTCTAGTTATTATTGGTTCTATTAACAAAGGTTAGTATGCAACATATTTGCAAACATGCAGGACTACAAATAAAATCTTGTTTTCATACATCTAACTTAACCTTATAATTTTTCCTATTTTATTAAAAGATATTTTTCAAAAAAATAAAAAAGATGTTTTTCATCTAGCACATTATTCCTTTATCTGCTTTGTGATCATTATTCTTTCATAATTAATATCCAGCAACCATTCCCCAAGATAAGTATTTCCTATTTTTCTTCTTAAAACATACTCAAAAAATCATCCCTTTCAAAATACATCCTTGTGATAGTTAATTTGATAGTATCCAAATGTAGTTGTAGGACATATGAATTTCCTATGTTCAATATGCCATACACTCATGGCTTGTTTTTTTTGCTTTTATTTTATTTCAATAGTTTTGGGGAACAGGTGGGTTTTGGTTATATAGATAAGTTCTTCAGTGGTGATTTCTGAGATGTTGGTGTAGTTGTCTTTCAAGCAATGTGAACCATACCCTATATGTAGTCTTTTATCCCTCACCCTCTTCCCTCCCTTCCTCTAGAGTTCCCAAAGTCCATTGTATCATTCTTACCCTCACCATGGCTTTTCTGATAGATACATCATGTACTAATTGACTGTGATCATTAATCTTTGTGTTCAATTTGGCATTACTGGTTTATTAAGGTACTGTACACATATATAAGCTAAGTGTGTCTGAAATAACAGAGAAGGTATTTAAAGGGCCACAACTGCTTGTTACAATGTAAATGTAGTATTACAAACACCTCAAATTTCCTGGGTGTAGAACCACTTAAGCACTCCAAGATACCCTTGTTTCTGTCTATGATAAAGTGCCCACACTAAAACAATCAAAGCTTATGCCTGGTATCTGCATATAATCAATTACCAGGTTTTTCTTTAGCATTTTACACATGTGATCTGAATATTCCTGGTAACTAAGATAGGCATAAAAGGATGTTAAAGTGTGCAGATGCAAAATATTTCTGACCATCACATTTAGAATCTTCACCTATAAGATAATTTAGGAGAACCCTTCTTTTTACCATATTTTATTCCTGTTATTTATGTATTAGAAGAAGGGAGAGAGAGGAGGAGGAGGTAGAACAGAAGCAAGAAGGGGTAGAGTGAGAGAAAGAGGAACAGGAGGAAGAGGAGGAGGAGGAGAGAAGGGGAGAAGAGGAGGAAGGGAAATAAGAGAAAGTGAGAGAACAAACTTGAGATTTTCGTTCCAAATCTGGCTGAAAAACACAGATTTCTGGGCTCCCTATTGTAAGGTAATGGATGTGCTTTGGTCAAGGATAGGCCGAGGTAGGATGTATACATCCTGTGTGATGCAGGGGGATTGGAATGTAGGCGCACAATTTCATGTATAATGTAAACACAGCTATGTAGCCATGACATGGGAATGCCATCACTTGGCTCTATGCCACTATTGTCTGTAAAAGGCATAATTGCCCTGCTGGCACTGTACAGGCATGCTTGTGCCCAGAGAGAAAAAGAGTTAAGCCGATGACCCTGAAGGCAAGGGAGAGCCGGCTGCGCAGGCGTGCATGGGAGCAGCTGGAGCAAGCAGTCGAGACAGAGCAGACAGTGTAAGAGAGCTGCTGATGACAGAGCTGCTGAATAAAGCTGTGTTTCACCTACCTACGGCCCCCTGAGTGGTATCTGCCATTTCATCCACCCACTCCCCTTGGACCTCAGCATGGGCTGGAACCGTACCTTGACCCTAACACATGTCAAGCCTATCAAATTAATACAAATCACTTCAGGTGGTTCTAATTGTCAGCAGGGTTGAGGATAAGTGGGTTAGAAAATCCTGAGATTGTTGAGGGTCAACCCTCCCGGGTCCTGCAAATGTTAGCGAGCTTGTCTGCTGGTGTTCTCACAACAGCCTTCAATGCCTCATTCCTAAAGAATGGGGACTATGGGAATCTTAGACCCCATGGTAGGCCATTTGGGAGAATATTTTGGATCAGAGAGGGATTTCTGGTCTCCTAAAATTATAATGAACTCAATGAGGATAAGAAATGTGTCTTTTCCAACTCTATCTCTGTTGCTCACCAGGATGCCTAGTGAGGAATTGGTGACAGTAAATGTATTGAATTTGATGCATTATTAGGCCATCTGTTTCCCCCTGTTTGCTGTGGGTCCTGCCCAAAGCTAAATCCAAGCAGAGAACGTACTTTTTTGAAAGTTTTCATGGCTAATAAGAAACCTGTGATGCAGGAATAAGTTTGAAAACAAATGTATCTACACTGTAGGAGCATTGGTTGAATTTGAACCCAGGAAATGACTATTTCTATTTTGCCTTTACTCAGACATACAAACCCAATTCCATTTTGGTGGGGTAATGGCGTTACAGGAGACTAGAGATCCAGAAATGTCAGATACAGGAAAACAGAAAAGTACAACTGCTTTATCAGCTTTTCTACCACTGACCCTGTGTGGGTAACAAGCAACGGCTAATACCCCAAATCCAGGATCACATACATCTTTTGGTAGAATCAAGCAGGAAGTTTTTATAGCTTCAGATATATGGTTTGAAACAAAAACCTTTTCTGCTCAACTTTAATTAAAATAGAACAAATCTATCTGCAAGAGCGCTCTCGCAAAAACAAAAAGCAAATTTCACAAGGAAAGGTGGTAATCTTGAAATGGCATTTATTTGTTCAAAGAATAATTACATTTTATAGCCCAGCTCTATGAGGAATTCCAATATGATGCAAGTCTTTTAATATGTTTAAATAGAAAGATTCTTAATGCCATGACTAGTTTTTAATTGAGACCTTATTAAACACCCTATTGTGTAAATAGGAAACAATTTCAGTTTGAGTGTTTTCATTTGAGTGTTTTCATTTTCATTAAAGATATAGCAAATGGATTCACAGAAATTTTTGTACTTTACTCAAGTAATTTTGGAGCCCCATACTTTGGTGCAAAAAATAATAAGGACTAGCCTTGCACAATATTCTTTGCACCTTGCAGTGTATGGCAAGACATCTGATATAGGGTTGAAGAGCATTATATTTTAGATAAGGTGGTGGACTGTATAAGCACATGGTTTCTGTAAATTTCATACCGCCTTGTTATTCTGGCACCTGCTGTTCAAAGAAAGAGGAAACCTGAAGGAAATAAAACTCAGCACAAAACAGCTGCATCTAAAGTGGAGACTGCTGGGATGCATGAGGAGGAGACACAAAGGGAAAGACAAGATGGTTTTAAGTGTTTCTTAAATGTGGGGAAAAAGTTTGTTTCCAATAGAGTATTATTATATTTAATTGAGAAAAAAATAAATAAAGCGAAGGGAAATTTGAGAGGAGAAAGAAAAGGTTTTGATTAATTGTAGCTCACAGACCCTTAGGGCTGGAATGGACTTTATAGAATCCCAGTCTTGTTGGGCAACTCAGGAAAGTAAGGCTCACAGAGGTATTGACGTACTAAACACCCACTTAATGAATAAAATGCCTGCTGCATTTATGTAGATATGATTTTTTTTTTAATTCCTGGAGGAAAGATGAAAGATCAGTATTCACAAAACATTTGAATGATTTTGAATGCTGAGCCCCCAAGTCTTCGCCACTGGGGAGAAAGACTGTCCTGTGGCCACAGCCCACTGGGGAGACAGACTTTGTCCTGTGGCCACAGCCCTGGTGCCAGAGAAATGGGACTCCTGGGTTCCTCAGAGGCTACACTGTCTCACTCATCACACAGCTTACAGAGGTAGAATCTGAGGGCCTCGCTGGATACTAGAGATTCTTGCAGTATAGACTGGTAGTGAAAACCCTTCTGGAAATGTTTCTGAGAACAAGAGGTTGTAGTTTTAAGCCATGTATCCAGCATCCACCTATGACGTTGTGTTGAGTTCCTGGAATCTTCGGGATTCTACACCAGGGCAGCCAGGCGACTGAGAAGGACACAGCCTTCTTGTCAGAACACTCTGTGTTTCAATTTTACCTCTGCAAAGGACTATTCTTGTAACCACAAGTGGATACTGAACTCTCTGGATCTCTGTTTATTGCAGGGAAAAAGTAACATACAGCATATAAAATGCCAAGTGATGGCCTTTTCTGCCAAACACAGAGGAGTGGAACAATAAATTTGCATTAATTTCCCTCAAATTCCAGAAGATATTTCTTTGACTTAGTGCAGAATTTGAGAGAATAATTTTTTTTCTTGGTTACCTAATTTGCAAACTGGAATTAAGAACATTCAAAATCCTCTCGGATCGCTCGTTAAAATGAGTGATGAGCAATTTCCTGGAAAACAATGAACATTAGCTATCAGTCACTCTATGAATAAGTTTTATTATTGGCTCCACTAATTTTTTCATCCTTCTGTCTAAATACTGGTCCCAGTTTGAATGCTGTCTTTTCACTATGTAATGAGCTACGACAATTCACAATACCTGGATGAAGAAAGAGGTGAGTGTGGTATGGACTGAGCTATAATATAGTTAGCCTGGAGATCAAAGTTCTGTGGTGGAGGGGAGGTTACTGTTTTTTAAAAAGGTGGTTATTCAGTGCAGCATGTTTTTATTCAGTGGGTTGATCCAGGTTTAATGTTCCAGGAGGAGAACATTTTAAAAAATCACACACAAAAAATTAGCAAGAGCCATAGACAGAAAAAAACAAGAAAAAATATTTAAAAAATGTTGCATGGAGTATAAGTTGTGTCAAATAAGAAGTATCACTTATAAATTCATTTATTATTGTGAGTATTTAAAAAGAGATTCTAAGATTTCTTAATATTTCCACAGTTCCTTTCTACAGTATGATTAAAAAAATATTCATTCATTCATTCAGCTCCATTCATTGAACACCTACAATACAGCAGAAATGATTTTTCTGGACAACAAACAAAACTGGAGCTAATTTTCTAGTGGCGACGGGGAGATAGCAAACAAATGATGTGCTTCCAGGCACTGGTAAGTACTATGATGGCAGATTGAGAGCGGGTCTAGCAAGCAAGCAAGGGGCCTGGCCTGTTTGTGATAAGCTTGTCAGGTGTGGCCTCTTTGAGGAGGTGACAAGAAAGCAGAGATCCAAATTAAGCAAGAGAGGGAGCCATGTGGAGGTCTGGAGGAAGAGTATTACAGGTAAAAGAAACAGCAGAAAAAGACCTTTTTTGCAGATAGAAAGGAGCATGTCATGTACCCAGAACAACAAGAAGGCCAGGTGACCCAGAGATTGGAGAAGGTGAGAAAGGACCTTTCTCTATAGAATGAAGGATAGAATGATGCCCAGAGGAAATGGAGTTTATACTCAATGTTATAAGAAGCTGTGATGATTAATTTTGTGTGTCAACTTTGCTAGGCTTGGTGCCCAGTTGCTTGGTCAAACAGCAGTCTAGATGTTGCTGTGCAGGTATTTTTTTACATTTAAATCAGCAGACTTTGAGTAAAGAAGATTACCTTCCATAATGTTGGTGAGCCTTATCCAATCATTTGAAGGCCATAAGAGAAAAGACAGAGGTCTCTCAAAGAGGAAGGAATTCTGCCTCCAGACTGCATCATCGAAATTCTGCCTGAGTTTCCAGCCTTCAAACTCAAGACTACAAAATCTCTTGGCAGAATTTCCAGGCTGCTAGCCTGTCTTGTGGATTTTGGACTTGCCTGCCCCCACAATTGTGTGAGCCAATTCCTTAAAATAAATCTCTTTCTGCATATATACATCTGATTGGTTCTGTGTCTCTGAAGAATCCTGACTAATATAAAAGCTATCAGAGTGATCAGAGCAGGGCATAATATGATCTGATTAACATTTTTAAATTATCACACAGATTGCTAGCAGGGATAACAGACTCTTGGTGAAAAGAAGGAAGTGGGAAAACCAGCTAGAAGACTGCTCCTGTCTCGTAGGTGTGACCTGGCAGTGGCCTGAATTTGATCAGAGGGTGTTGGATTTGAAGAATATTTTGGAGGATTTTTAAACAAATCAGATGATGAATGTGAGAGAAACAGAAAAGTCAAGCCTTAAGCTTTGAGCTTGAGCAGCTATGTGAATGGTGTCCTCGTAATTAAGACACTTCTGGAAGCCTGGGCAAGGAGCAGGTGTGCAGAGGAGGAAAAGTAATCGGGGGTGGGGTGGGGAGGGATGTATTAAAGATCAAAGTTTTTGTTTTGAATGCATTAGTCTCATGTTGCCCATTAGCTGTCCAAATGGAGATGTCAGGTAGAATATGAGATGCAGGGACAAGGCTGGAGATCAGCATCACTTAGGTGACCAGAGCATTGGTAAAAGTTGTACACTGACAGCTAAGAGCACAGTCTCTGGAAGCCAGACCATCTAGATTCAAATCTCAACTCTACTCTTCACAGATTGAACTTGATTGTCCTGGCCTTCTCATCTGAAAATTAAGGATGAAACTAAACATACCTAATTGAAGAGACATGAAGATTAAATTAGTTAACATATGTAAGCACTTAGGATGATGGCTGGATCCTAGAAAGTGTGATGTCAATGTTATCTATGATTACAATCAGAGTTCAGAGTTGTTTTTTTTTGTTGTTTTTTTTTTTCTGGCCCATCAGATCAATTGCTAAATGGAGACAGGGGATTGGGTATTGTTTCCCAAGCATACCTACTTTGCATGGATTTTGATTGCTAGCCCAAAGAGGTCAAACTGCAAACAAAAATTGGGGCGAAGCAATTTATTTTGCCGGGGCAGTGAGCACTTTCAGAGCAATGAAAACTGATAAAGCTCCACTCCCTTAAATATGACCTTTGTCCTCCCTGCTTTGTTTTCTTTCTTGTGCTTGTCACCTTCTCACGTATCATCTATGACGTGCTGATTTATTTGTTTGCTTTCCATCTCCTGAGCTCTACGTAAAAAAGCAGGGATTTTTTACTTTCTTTCTTTTTTTTTTTATTATACTTTAAGTTTTAGGGTACATGTGCACATTGTGCAGGTTAGTTACATATGTATACATGTGCCATGCTGCTGCGCTGCACCCACTAACTCGTCATCTAGCATTAGGTATATCTCCCAATGCTATCCCTCCCCCCTCCCCCCACCCCACCACAGTCCCCAGAGTGTGATATTCCCCTTCCTGTGTCCATGTGATCTCATTGTTCAGTTCCTTTTTAACTTACTATTAGCACCTGGAAGAGTGCCTGACTCAGTCAAACTATGGGGAATAAATGATATTTCCTGGCACTTATTGTTCCTTTTCTTTGTTTCTTACCTTATTTCTTCAAATATTTTTTCATGAGAAAACATTATCAAAAAGAAGGCTGGACATTAATATGCTTCTCTGGACCTGTGGAGTTGTGCATAATGTCAGTTTCATTGAGACAAACCTCATCTATGAAATGGATGTTCAGAGAAGCCCGCTGATGGCAATTTCAGTTTTGTCTTTGGAAATCAATTGCGGAATTGACATACGGTCTTCTGAAAGTGATGGTACTTTACTTGCTGTTGGTTGTCCACTCTAGTTTCCCTGCCAGTCTATATGTGGGCTGCATTCCACTCCAGCTGCAAATTCTAATCACAGATTTTTGCTCAGCAATGCTTGCCAATGAGAGGCATTGAGAGCTATGCATTGTGGAAGTTGATACATGGCCCAGTCAATCTATGACTTATGAGACCTATTGCAAGTCCAAGGAACTGTATTGATTCTGCAGAATGGACTGGAAACTGACCTTCATCTCACAGAACCCTCCAACTTGCTCCTGGTCTGTTTATTCCCAATGGAGCACTTGCATCATGCAGCTTTGTTCCAAAATCATTAACTTTTATTTCCCTTTACATTCCATCATGATTTTTACCTTATGTATAAAGAGTGGACAAATAGAAGTCTTTATTTAGCACAAAAGCTCAGTCCTGTTTCAATGTCAGCTATTCAGAGGCAGTTAATTTTATCTTCTCTCACTGCATGGGTTTAGTACACAGATACTATTTCCTTGGAAATGCAGACATTGTGTCAAAATAATGTACATTTGATCCCTACACTACTTGTGCCAGCAGTTATTAATGATCATCCTTAGAGTATTGTATTACAAGTAGTCTTTTTAAAATGTTTCCCTCGTATCTTAATTAGATTAATCTTAATATTAAGACTGTTGCCTAATTTCTCATTGTGGTTGTACCAGCCAGCACATTATTGCATAGGGAGTTCAACAAATGATGGGCAAGGTGAGTTAAATATTCATTCCTGAGGCTGTTTGGGAAGGGACATCAACTGTCTGCCGCCCTCAGGTTTTCCTTTTATCTATAGAATGGATGAGAGGCTGCAATAGGGCTTTCCTCTTCAGCCATTCTCTTTGTTCTTGAGATGCAGGTGTGGACTGGACTTCAAGATACTACCTAGAAAACATAACCAGTTTCCCTATTAGGTTGTGATCCCTTCGTTGTGCCTTTGAATTCCGAGCATATTTTATTTCATCGGAGGATGGCCATTACATTCTAATAACTAAAATTATAGGATGTTCTGGCCAGAAGGAAGCTTATAATTCTTCTACCGGAGAATGTTCATTATGCAGATAAGTAACAAGGACTGAGAATTTCAGAACTTACTCCAGGCCACAGGGCCATCGGCTTATCTGAGATGAAAGTCCATGGCTTCTGAGCTTTCCCACAGTATTACAGCTTGGTTTGGAGGTAGCTACTCATTTTTCCTGGGCATTTATTTAAGGTAGAACATTTAATACAAGTCTGCCTTCTTTGTCAGGGGTGACTGCACCTGCAGTTGTTCCCACTGCAGCCTAATCAGGCAGGGAGGTCAGTCTGTGAGCGTGTGTCTGAAAAACACATACCGACTACTTTCTCGTGGCTGCTTTACTCAGAATTGTCACATCATTACCAGGTCTTTCCTGTTGCTATGTTCGGTTCACCTGAGGGGAGAAAATTGAACTGAACAATGGAAGATATGTGAACAATCAAAAAAAAATTAAATAAACATTTTTTCCCCTAAGGTGGAAAGGAAGGTGAAGGAGTCAAATAAAACCTCCTAAGAATAATGATTCCTTCAAAATGAATGTCATAGCCCTTGTCTTGACTTTGTTATGTCAATACTATTTTATCCATACTGCATGATCTGCAAAGCTGATGCTACATCCAAGGATGGGGAACTTCCCTTTGTTATCTGCCAATATAGCTACCAATTCTATAAGTGTGAATGGAATGGCAATACTTTTATTAGTAAGCAAGTATGTGATTTTATTATACAGTATGTCAAATAAAAACTGCCAGGGAGAAAAAAAAGGAAAGGTAATCTTGGTGACAGGTGAACACCTTAGTTATAGGAACATCTTAGTTTAAACACAGTTTCTGAGTTTGCAAGTTATATACTAAATAGCACCACCATATGGAGCAGATGTAGGCAAAGCCACAAACACTAAGAAAATGAGGTCACAATTGTGGAAATGAGACATTTCCCCCTTTTTCCATGCCCTTGGTTGTATGCAGATTGCTCCAACCTAAAGGGATACATATTGAACTCATTTTCTGTAATTTAACTGAATTACAATGTTCATTTTTATATATAGCTAGAAAGAACTCAGACATAAGAAAGGGTATCTATTAGCTCTTTCTTTTTTTTTGAGATGTAGCCTTGCTCTGTCACCCAGGCTGGAGTGAAATGGCACAATCTTGGCTCACTGCAACCTCTGCCTCCCAGGTTCAAGCGATTCTCCTGCCTCAGCCTCCCAAGTAGCTGGCACTACAGGTGCCCGCCATCACACCCAGCTAATTTTTGTATTTTTAGTAGAGACGGTGTTTCACCATGTTGGCCAGGCTTGTCTCGAACCCCTGACTTTATGATCCGCCCACCTTGGCCTCCCAAAGTCCTGGGATTACAGGTGTGAGCCACCAAGCCCGGCTTAGCTCTGTTTCTTAACATGAAAACAAAATCTTTGCATACAATTTTAATAGCAATTCAAGTGGTAGAAGAACAGGTAACAAATTGTTTATTTAAAACCTATTTTACTTTAAAGATGAATCTTCCATTCTCCTCTCCACTCCCTTCATAATGTTCATTCATTCATTCCTTCTTTCATTAAAATTATTTGGCATGAATTGAAGTTGTTTTTGAAGCACCTTTCCTGGAAGTAATCAACACAAAGAGTTATTGCTGTGTTCTCTCACTTTTTTTACTTTGTGACAAAATAGAAGCATAGAATTGGACCCTTTGAGGAGGATTGACAGCTGCAGGGGTGACAAGGGCTGATCTTCCTGGAGGAACAGGGACTAAGTCACACCATTCAGATGTCTGCCAAATTTGAGAGGCTAAAAAGACAGTACAGGGGAAAATGATAGCCCTTGTGGATTTACACTGATTTTCTGTGCATAATAATGGACAGAATTGTTTGCAGAGTGCTCTTTACTTTGGAGCAATCTGCATACAACCAGGGGAAAGGAGAGGAGAGAGTCTGAAAATGCTGCAGCAGTGAGATGCCCTATATGTAGACACAAAGTCCTTCTCGTAATTGTGTGGCAGGCAGAATAATGACTCTCCAAAGATGTTCACACCCTGATCCCTGGAACCTGTGAATAAGTTACCATCCATGGCAAAGGGAACTTTGAAGGTGTGATCAAGGGGATGCACCTTGAGTGAAGGAGAGAAGCCTGGATTACACAGGGGCATCTAATCTAATCACACCCAGCCTTAAAAGTGAAACACCTTTTCCTGGTTTTGTCATAAAGAGGTGCAATAAAAACAGGGGGAGAAATTCGAGGTGTGAGAGGGATTTGCTATTACTGTCTTTAGAGATGGAGGAAGGGGTAGACCAGCCAAGGAATGTGGGTATCCTACAGAGACTGGGAACAGCTTATAGCTGACTGCCAGTAAGGGAACGGAGATCTTAGTTCTACAACCTAAGGAAGTGAATTCCACCAACAACCTGTATGAGCAAGGAGAAATCTGTCCAGCCTCCGGAAAAGAACACAGCTCTTCCAAAACCTTTACTGTAGCCTGGTGAGACCTGCATAAGACTTCGGACCTACAAAACTGTAAGTCCCTTTATTTGCTGTGTAATTTGTTAGAGCAGCAATAGAAAATGGATACAAATGGTTACAGATCAAGAGACGTCTCATTTGGGTAGGTGGAATAAAGCAATGCTACATTTGCCCTTACATCTTGAAAACAAGCATTATTGACAATTTAGGCAAACATCCAGATTAAAATAATGAATAAAAGGGCACATGTGCACAATAGCCAGAATTGTTATTTATTATCACAGAATGGAGCTTTTCATTTTCAGACAGGCCTAGGAGGTATGAGACACAGGCTTTTTGTTGAGGTGTTTTGAAAAATCATTTGCAAATTTTGATAGTGAATGATTCCTCTTCTTGTTTCTGGGTAAATGTCATATGTAAATATATTCATTGTAATCACTCAGACTTCTTGAGATACCTAGCAATTAGGTTAAGTTTGTACCAATTCCTTTGCTTTTTATCTCCATAGTTAATTGAATCTTCTACAAAACTTACTTTTAGTTCATTATTTCTCCTTCTCTTTGGTCTTCTTTCTGGGGATCCTGTGTATCTTCTAGTTTTACATTAAGATTTTGCATTGAAAGTCCTCCTGAATGTGCAAAATTGTAAGTGTACTCAGGCCTCACACACAGATGTAACGTAAGCACTCAGGGACATTCGTTCTGTCTGGCGGTGCCTGGATCATTGCTTAGGTTTAAGTTGTATTGTAATTTTACTTGTTCAAAATATGATTTCATTTTTTCCAGCATATAAATTACTTGAAGAGGCAGAATCTGAGAGTCAATAAAAGTTACACATACACAGATAGGTCTAGTGTGGTCCGTCCTGTATTGATACAGGCTCTTTAATAGGCACAAGCTGTTGTGTTTGTGCCTGTGTGTTGTGTTGTGTACAAGTGAGACAGACCCATTCTTCCTTAGGCTCAGGCCACATGATTTTAGGTCTGTTGGGGACTGAATTGTGTCTGCCATCCCCCAACTCATATGTTAAAGCCCTAATCTCTGACTGCTTCTGGAAACAGGGTCTATAAGAAGGTAACTGAGCTTAAGTGAGGCCAGAAGCAGGTGGTCCTAATCCTGTAGGTCTGGTTTCCTTATAAGAAGAGGAAGAGACAAGAGAGAGCCCTCTCATTCTCTCTTCATACTCACAAAAGAAAGACAATGTGAGAAAACAGTGAGAACGTGGCTATCTGCAAGCCACAAAGAGAAGTCTCATCAGAAATTGAATTTACCAGCACCTTGATCATGTACCTCTGGCTTCCAGAACTGCGAGAAAATAAATATCTGTTGTTTGAGCCACGCAGTCTTAAATGTAGTATTTCGTTATGGCAATCCTATCAGACTAATATGAAGCCACTTCCAGGAGTTTTTATTTCATCCTAGGAAGCCCTTGATGCAAATTAAGCTTGGGACAGGTGGCACCATCCAATTTACATTTGAAAGCAAACATTTCTGGCTGTTGTATAAAATATGACTTAAAAGTGGGGACTAGAATGAAAGTGGAAAATCAGCTGAGAAGATACTATTGTGTTTTGTGTAAGAGACAATGGCATTTTTCAATATTTGTGTGAAGCAAAAATTACAACTCTAAATTTTTCAGTTTATAAAGTATGAAGATGGAATATGTATCACAAAAACCTCACAAAGAGTAGTGATTTGAGGTTAGTAGACATATACTATTGAACATTCATGCATTTCCTGTGAGATGGTGTAATATTAACATTATAATTAAAATTTTATTATTCATAATGTAACCTCTAAGTTATTATGAAAAAGATGCAAAGATACATAGCAAAAATGCCAATAAAGGAAATTAAAAGAAGTACCAAAAATATTTGATTAACTCAAAATGAGGCAGAAGAGACAGAGAAGAGAGAAACAGATGGGACAATTAGAAATCAAATAGTAAAATGATAAGCCAAAATCAAACTTAGGCTAACGTTATATTTAATGTAAATGAGGTGAATATGCCAGTTGAAACATTAGAATTATCAGATAGTAGGAAAAAAGGAAGATCTAATTAAATACTGTCTACAGAGACATTCTGTTATAATTAAATCAGAGGAAGAGTGATAACAAAAGGATGAAAAAATGATACACCATGCAAACAATAAACATGAAAAAGAACAGCTATATTAACATCAGACAAGGTAAACCTCAAGACAAGGAAGAATGCTATAGATAAAGAGGGATGTTTTTAAATGAAGAATTCTATTCATTACAAAGACATAATAATAATTAATATATATGTGCCTAACTCTAGAACTTCAGATTCTATGAAGCAAAAATAGAATTACAAAGAAAATAGAAAATTACACATAGAAATATTCACATGTCCTCTCAGCAATTTATAACAACAACTACATTAAAATATTGGTCAAAGAGTAGAAGTTATGATTAGCACTATCAACCTCCTTGATCTTACTGACATTTATAAAGCATGACATCCTATAACTAGAATACATATTATTTTCAAGTGACATGGAGCTTTCAAGAGATAGATGGTGAGCCATAAAACAAATCTCAAGGAGAATAAATTGATACTTCCATATAGTTTCCAAAATTGTTGTATCTATTAAAGCTAAACTTATGCCTACCCTATGTTCCAACAAACCCGTTCATAGGTATACACCACAGAGAACTGAGTTCCCCCAAAGATGAGTACAAATTATCTACAGCAGTTTTATTCATTACACCTTAAATCTAGAAAGTCTAACAGGAGAATAGACACATTGTGGTATATTCATATAAGGGAATATAACACAGAAGAATAAACTGTTTGCTGTGCAGAACAAAATGGAAGAATCTCACAAATACAATAATGTGCTCAGGAGTGCAGTCATGAATCTGGTCATCCTGTATGACTCCATTTATATGAAGTTCAAGAACAGCCAAAACTAATCAACAGTAATTGAGGGAAGAAGACTGAAGAGTTACTAATTCTTGGAGTAGAAAACATTGTCTAGGAAGGGCACAAAGGATCATTCTCCATGATGACAATTTACATGTTATATGGGTGATTGCAGCACTTAACTTAAATGTAAGTTAAGTCCCAATCAAAGCAACTGACTGTTCAGGTAACAAACACTTGGTTTCAGAGGCTCAGCCTTTGCCCAACACCACCAACTTTATAAACAAGATATGTCATAAGAACCTTGATTTTCCAGTCAACATTTTTAGGAGCTCCCAAATGATCCAAAAGTAGAATTGGATATCATTTCCTTCCCAAATTCATTATTTCCAAATCTGATGACTTGAAATGTGTGATCCTTTAGACAGGAGTTTGCAAACAGGTGAGCTTTGTACCAACCATATAAAGAAAATTTCTAGAGCAAATTATTGATTCAGTCAATCCTGCAATGAGAATATTGAATGACTTAAAAATATAAATGATTTTGAACTCTTTGGAAGCAATTACCAGAAACTGATGTGCTAATGGTATGTTATACCAGTGTGGTTTTAGATGGGCAAAACTTTTGGGCTAGTTGAAGTTATTTTGAAGTTGTGAAAAAAAAAAGTTGTTTTTCTTTGACAGCACTTCCTACTTCTCACACATTTCCTTCCATTAGCCGCCCCTTCCTTTCTTCCCTCCCTGTTATTCCAGGTATGCCTAGTAGGAGGCACCTCTTTCACAGTAGCCTAGACAAGCTTGGGCATCTCTGCATGGAAACTTTTGATAGAAAGAGAGTTACAGATTGTAAGTTTTTTTAGTTGCCACAGCTGTAGGGACATTAAAGATGTCTTGTATACATAGACATGTGTTAGCTGAGCCAGTGGAAAGTGCTGGAGTTGGACCTGACTTTAAACAGAGGCTCTAGTACTTGGTAGTTACGCAATGTTGGGCAAGTTACTAAAACTCTGAGCCTCAGTTTCCTTATCTGTAAAATGTAATTGATAATCATTGGCTTATAGGGTCATTGTGCTATGGTTATTGTGATAGGACTACATAGAATGATGTCGGGCATATCATAGGAGCTCAATAAATGATGGTATTATTACTTTATGATGATAATCCTGCTGCTATTGCTGCTGCTGATATTACACTTAGTGGAATTCTGTCCTCCTTCCTTCATAAATACAGGCAGAAACATAAGTACACAGTTAAGCACAATTAAATGAATTCTTTTGTTACAGTTATGCACAATTAAACGAATTCTTTTGTTTCTTTCTGAATAATGGGGCTTATCAATTCTTCATAAAGCACTTTGGATTCTGGAGCTACATCTCTAAAGAAGTCCAATGACTAAATAAGATTTAAATGCCATTAGTAGTTCATATAATTATCACAAAGTGCCAGAGAGATATTTTGAATATCAATAAATCGAGCCACCTTTTTTACTTCCTGTAAGATTTCTATTGAGATGTTAACAGGCAGAAAATCAGTAAAAATATTGTATATAGTTTATTTTCATTTTAATTTTTTAAATCCCACATTGCTTAGCTCAGGAAGATGTGAACAGAAGGAAGTTTTAGAGTAGTTTATTATCCTTTAGAGTCAGCTTTGTGAATTACCTAATTACTCTCAACCTTGGTGCTATTGACATTCTGCATCATCACTATAGAAAAGTTCATGTGTGGCATGTGTACAACGTAGTTTAATCTGACATTCTTTTTTAATATCTAGGAGATTTAGGGACCACTGTAAAAATAATTGGCAAGGAACTGCAAAGTGTTTTTCTCTTCTTAAATAACTATATTACACTTATACAAAGTATACTGAGAAGGAGCTAGGAAGAGAATATAGAGGATTACTGTGAAATACGATGAATATATATTGAATATTAACTCTCCATGATCATCATCAGTGAAAGGGATGATGGGATAGCAAAGAGAAAATGGTATGAAATGCTTAGGTCTGTTGGAAAGAAGTAGGAATTTGATTCAAGTAAAACAAGGGCTCCAGTTTATTATTATTTAAGCTGTGCAAAAAATGTTAAGCATTTTACATGTACTGTCTTACTAAATTCTTCAATGACTCTAAGAGGAGGTGTTCAATGGAAAATACAATTGATCACTCATGTGTAGTGTCATGAAGGACTTCGGGAATTTAACAATGGTTAAGACAATCTCACAGAGTGGAGATTACCAACACATAAACAGAAAAAAATATATTTTATAATAAGAAGCGAAAGGATAAGCAAAGAACTATCAGTATTGGTTTGTAATCTCTCTCTTTTTTTTTTCTTTTGAGACAGAGTCTCGTTCTCACCCAGGCTGGAGTGCAGTGGCATGACCTTGGCTCACTACAACTTCTGCCTCCCAGGTTTAAGTGTTTCTCCTGCTTCAGCCTCCCAAGTAGCTAGGATTACAGGCGTGTGCCACCATACCCGGCTAATTTTTGGGATTTTTGCCATATTGACTAGGCTGGTCTTGAACTCCTGACCTCGAGTGATCCTCCTGCCTTGGTCTCCTAAAGTGCTGGGATTATGGGCCTGAGCCACTGTACCCAGCCTGATTTGTAATCTAAATTAATTTGTAAAACAATCCCTATATCACTTTGGAATTGGAAGATTTTCCAGGATTCAGGGACTGTAGGATAGGAATGACTCACATCTAATTTATAATCAAAGATTTATGGATAATCACTAAGACACTAGATTTATTAAAGTGTTCTCACCACAAAAATAAGTATGTGAGGTAATATGCATGTTAAATAGCTTGATTTAGCCATTTCACAATGTATACAGGTATCAAAACATCATGTAGTACTCCACAAATACATACAATTTTTACTTGTCAATTAAAAAAAAGAATATATAACTCTATATTTTAGTCCAAAAGAAAGGATTTGTTGAATACGTTTGGGTAGGACATGGTCTGTGGCATGTGGCATGCACAGCCACACCCAAGGAGCAGGATTCTGGAAAGACAGTGGCCTGAAACACACATCTGACCCCTCCTTTGTGAGAACTCCCACTCAGGATCCACGCGGTGCACACAGAGGGAGCCTGGAGGGTGTGTTGTCTCTGGTGGTGAGATTTCCTAAGATGTCTCTGAAGGGTCTTCAAGGGACTTAATTATCTGGGCCCATGACCCAGGCCTTGCCTTTGCTGGGAGAAGAGGGCAGATGTTTTAGAAGAGAGCTGGGGATGTGGTCCAAGCATCAGCATATCTCACAATCTTCTCCTGTGCTTCTGATACACAGCTGGGGTTGCATGTTACTAATTTTTTTTTTTTTTTTGAGACAGAGTCTCGCTCTGTCGCCCAGGCTGGAGGTGTAGTGGCGCGATCTCGGCTCACTGCAAGCTCCGCCTCCCGGGTTTACGCCGTTCTCCTGCCTCAGCCTCCCGAGTAGCTGGGACTACAGGTGCCCGCCATCACGCCCGGCTAATTTTTTCTATTTTTTAGTAGAGACGGGGTTTCTGTAAGCCAGGGTGGTCTCGATCTCCTGATCTCGTGATCCGCCGCATGTTACTAATTTAATGTTACTTAGGATGGCCACATTGAATAGTTAAATGAGATGATTCGTTTGGAGGGAAAAACGATGGAGAAGTAACACAGAGCATTAACACAGAAAAAAAAGAAACTTTCAAGTAGACAAAGTAGATCAACAACAGCAAAACTTACTTTCTGAATTTTACAACTTATTAAAATAATTAAAATATTATTTTGGAAAGCCAAATGGAGTGAATATCTAACACAGACAAAAATAAATGGAAATGAGAGGTGAAAGGTATTTGGCTGATGATTAAAAGGAAAAGGGAATAAATAGAGAATAGATGTTAATGAAAGAAACAATAGAACTTTTCCCTGAGTGGAAGAAAGACTTAAATCTAAAATTAAAAAAGGCTTAGTGGCTCCCAAATAGCATTGAAATTAAAGGTCCTAAATATCAAGTGGAAAATATGAGAACAGCATGTGGTTTATTATGTAGCTTAATGACAGAACTCAAAGGATCCTACATACAGCCAAGGAATCATTATTTTCTTAGTCCAAAATATATATATATATTTGGAGAATGTGGGATTCAGTTGGTACATTCATATGTTCCATATAAGTTATTCAAGTATAGTGAAAATGGGTTGAGTCATCTAAAGTGATGAGGATAATATGACTTGGATATAGATACACACATGCACATATACACACGTGTGTGTATAATAAACATATTAAGTATATTTGAAATAAGAAAATCTAAAAGACAAAACCAAGAGATTAGATCTAAAGTTTTAAAACCATCTCAGCAAAACTCGAGAGGTGGTGGGTGAGATGCCTGAGAGAACCATAGTCCAGAGGTCTATTCTGGCGGGACTGTACTGTCACCCACATGGTGACAGCCTGGGGGTAAAAACATTCTAATGTTTTCTGCACACATATGTTTATTGCAGCACTATTCAAAATAGCAAAGACCAGGGACCAACCCAAATGCCCATCAGTGATAGGCTGGATAAAGAAAATGTGGCACATATATACCATGGAATACTATGTAGCCATAAAAAAGATGAGTTGCTGTCCTTTGCAGGGACAGGGATGAAGCTAGAAACCATCATTCTCAGTACACTAAAACAGGAACAGAAAACCAAACACCACATGTTCTCACTCATAAGTGGGGGTTGAACAATGAGAACACGTGGATGCAGGGAGGGGAACATCACACACCGGGGCCTGTTGGGGGGTGGGGGGCAAGGGGAGGGATAGTATTAGGAGAAATACCTAAAGTAGATGACGGGTTTATGGGTGCAGCCAACCACCATGATACATATATACCTACGTAACCAACCTGAACGTTCTGCGTATGTATACCAGAACTTAAAGTATATATATATAATTCTAATGTTTTCATTTGGTGCCAGGGAAAGGCAAGAGAGCAAGTAAACTGTCTTGGTTGGCACTATGGCTCCTAAATCTATATTCATTCATAGAGAAATGTAGTTTCATCATAGCCATTAGGAATGCGTATGTAACTAATAGCAATGCTGAGAAGTATGGTTATCTTTCAAAAGTAACCAGGTGTGTGGGTGGTGAAGGTAGAGAAGAATATGAAAAAAATTGAGATATCCAGAAACAGTAATGAGATATATAGGACAGTAATGAGAGAAACAGATCAAATGAGATTAAATAAGAATAAAACCAAGTATGTAAATTTTCACAATACACAAAAAGTACTGACTGAATTTCCATAACACAATTAAGAGACTCTCATAGGAGGTTAAAATATAAAATGGACAAAAATATAGAAAAATTAATAGTCTAATTAAAATAGTATGATTTAAATGCACCAAACAAATGACAAAATTCTAAAAAATAAGACTGACTTGGGCCAGGTAAAATTATAGTAGTTGGTTTTAATATAACTCATTAGAAAAATATTAGTGATAAATTCAGTAAAAAACCCAGGTTAACTTGGATTTAAATTATGCAATTAAAAGCTCAAAGCAATATGTATTAAACATTTTAGCCTATATGCAAAAAGCAAACAGTTTTTGGTTCACAGGTATGTGCAATTATCAAAATGAATATCATAATATTAAAAATGTAGAGGTTTTACAGGTCATGTTTCTAATCATAGCCAATAGAGCTAGAAATCAATAGTAAAATTGTTGTAGAATCTTAGCTACTAGTAATTTAAAAAACACAAACTTTCAGTTAAAGCAATTAAAAACGTCAAATTATCTAGGTAGACAAATACTGAAAGGCAAGCTTACATTATAGCTTAGGTGACGTAGCCATTGTTTTGTACAGATAAAATTATTAGTTTTAAAGGCCTCATACTAAAGATAATGACTAACTTAAACTAGAAAAAGCATGGTACAGCATACTGAAAGAATGAAGGTAATAATAATTAGTGATGTAATAGATAAAATTAATAAAATAGAAAATGTATATTATCAAAAGGATAAATGTGGTCCCCAAATATGGGCCTTTAGGAAAAAAAACCTGGCATATTTGATTATGAAAAATATGAAAAGATAAATAAATGCAATAATTAGAAAAGCCTAGTTGATAACGTCACAGGTCCTGAAAAAAAAATTTATAAGAGAATATTATGTATATTTCTTCTGGGATCATATTTTATTGATAACTGGTTTCTTGCTTATTTACTTATTCTCCGTGTATTTATATCACCATCAATTTTGCCCATTTTATCAGCACTTTACTCTCATCACTGTTGTTACTTAAATTTAGGTCTGACAACTGTCTTTATAGTACCAAGGTCTCACATCCACACACTACCTTCGTCTTTCAAATAGTATTATTTTTTCTTTTAGCAACAGAAAAGGGTTGTTTATGATGTAGTCCTGGTAGTCAGTGTCTACTTTGATACGTCAAGGAGGAATTCACTGAACAGAGGTGATGTATTTGTTTGTTTTTCTGCACCAAACCTGCATGCAGCAACTCCCTTGTGACTTCTATTGAGCCAGCTAGAAATAAGAATGAACGCTCTTTTTTTAATGACAGCTTTGTTTCTGAAACTCAGCATTGTGGGGCAGTTCACTATCAAGGTTTCAGACTATTGCCGTCATTGAGCTGCTTTTATGGAGCTGGTTGAAATCTGTGTTATTATACTAAGAGTCCATTTCATGATGCTATTAGATTATCCATGAAAATGCATTAGGGAATCTTCAATATCGTCATGGAAACCCTAACAAAAACCACATATAAATGTACTACCTCTTGAAGTATCAAAACCAGTGTCGCAACATTGAGGCCCCAGGGAAATAATTGGAAACGATGATGATGACTCCTGGTGAGCCATGCCTTTAAATGGATACAGGAAGTCTCTAGAGTCAAAGGACAGAGTCTTTGAATGAGACAGGGCAAAACGACTGCTGATAAGAGTGCCCAACATTGGATATTATCCCTTAAGAATTGCTATTGGGATGTATTGAAATACTTTTCCCTATATTTTTTTCATTTGTAACAATTATCCAGGGGCTCCTATGCTGGAACCAGGCCCCCGTAGCTTAAATAGGTAGAAACCTGGTTGCGTTGACTTTTCCACTGCAGACCTTTACATGTACACTCAAAGCAATCCTTAGTGCTTTGGCTTGTGTTGAGAAACAAGAGATGGAAAATACATGGTAGCTTCAACACTTTCTAACTAAAGTATGGTTGACTTCTGCTCTCTAGGGTCTGAGTGGCAGACAGATATTATAATATCCTAGTATTACGATTATAATACAACTGAGGCCTTGAGCTTACTAAAAAGAATATTTACTCAAACTGTTTCTTCTCAAGCTAGAACAAAACTTTTCTCTAAAACAGAGATATAAATCCACATAAAACTTTTATGATTTTGAACTTTAATACTGTGAGACATATGTCCATTGGATCTTGTTTTTGTTTTTCTTTTCCTCCAAAGTAAGAAATTAAAACACCCTAGGTAAAATGAAGCCATAGGGTATATGATTTTGATAGCCTGTTGTTGTTGTATTTTAAGTTAAATTGTGTATTTGGATTTTGTGTTACAGTATCTTCTGTGCATTTATTCTTGCATACTTATAGACAGGTAAGTTTTCTTCTGTGGAAAGTCTTTGAATTTGCAACTTAAACCTTGAATTCTGACAGATACAATGATCTGAATTCTGCGCTTATCACAAAGCTCCATTTCCCTATACAGTAGGATGGAGTGATTCAAAGTGTT
This sequence comes from Homo sapiens, assembly GCF_000001405.40. Taxonomy (NCBI): domain Eukaryota; kingdom Metazoa; phylum Chordata; class Mammalia; order Primates; family Hominidae; genus Homo; species Homo sapiens. Next base: position 28,985 of record NW_012132921.1, read on the forward strand.
ATTTATTATTTAAGGGATGTATCGGGCAAGTAAAAAAATTACCAATATGTATATTTTCAGATGATCAAATGAAAAATAAATACCAAGCTGAACTGTTTGATAGTCTAAGAAGCAGTTTATAATGAGTATATGACAAGGTTGTAGACTTTACTTCTGCTTTATATCACTAAAGTCCATGTAGCATGACCTTAAATTCTGTGGAAAGGTTTGTAGCTCTTTCAGCTACGCTTGTCTCAACTTGATCATGCCCTGAGAAAGGGAATTAACTTGTTTAGTATCTTTATAAAATTGCCATACATTTCTGTATTTTTGATCAGTGGTGTCACAATGATAGTTTATAGGATACTTTCATGTATGCATAATCCTAAGGATTATTGTCCTGATTTAATGACTTGATGAAGAACATACATCTATTGAATAACAGAGTTGGGCCGGGAGCAGTGGCTCATGCCTGTAATCCCAGCACTTTGGGAGGTTGAGGCAGGCAGATCACCTGAGGTCAGGAGTTCTAGACCAGTCTGGCGAACATGGTGAGGCCCCGTCTCTACTAAAAATATAAAAATCAGCTGGGTGTGGTGGCGCATGCCTGTAATCTCAGCTACTTGGGAGGCTGAGGCAGGAGAATAGCTTGAACCCAGGAGGTGGAGGTTGCAGTGAGTCGAGATTGTGCCACCGCACTCCAGCCTGGGCAACAGAGCAAAACTCTGTATCAAAAAAAAAAAAAAAAAAAAAAAAGAATAGCAGAGTTGGAAACTCTGAGAAACTTCTTTGGGAGTTAGCATACAAAGTGTGTATAATTTCGTATTTTCATGGATAATATGAACAAGCTGTCACAAAAGTGATTATGTGCATATGGGAATGTTGTTATTTCCATCAGGCCCCTATCTCTTCACTTCCTTCCATATCTGGCTCCCTCTTGCTCTTTTGAGTTCACCTTCAGCACCAAAAAATATCATTGACTATTTAATCCAGTTGTCCTTTCATCATATTTGCCTGTCAAAATCCTAGCCATGGTTCAGTCTAATTGTCCATCTTAGTTAAACCTATACCTGGATTGTCCAACATTTCAAGGCATAGATGTTGATGTTTATCAATTCATAATTGCTATCCTTACTGGGTTAAGGAACTGTACGGCAACACTGCAACCCTCTAGTTTCCTCCCTCCCATTCACTACAGCAGCCACCTAAATTTTACTTCACTCATGTGGATATCCTACTCCGCCATCGTTTTCCCATTCTCAGCAAATGACCCACGTCTGATGGCAAAGGGAAAACAGGGTCTGTCATCTGTAACTCCTTAAGCTCATGCTACTAAGACTCATGTTGCTTGGTCTTGACATCCACCCTTAATCCTGCCTTCTTAAGTCAATAGAATAGTCATTCCTCTTTCATTTTAAAGTTAAACCCTATGCTCATACTCACAGTCTGTCTCCTCTAGCTTCTACAGTGACCTAGACTCATCAGTTATCTCTGCCTTTCTGTATCTTCAACTTTTTCCTCTGTCCTGACCCCTTCTCCTTGACATTGTTCCCACGTTTACCTACAGCCATGTCCCTACCTCTCTTCTACTTTGTAGCAGAAGTCCACTGGCTCTACATCTTCATTGCACAATCTCTTCTGCACTGCAGTCTGCCTTTCACCCTTTTTGACCCAATGAAGTTTCATTTGCTCAATCACCAATAAATTATTTAGTACTAAATCCCAAGGAACAATGTTACACTATTGATATGGTTTGGCTGTGTCCCCACCCAAATCTTATCTTGAATTCCCATGTGTTGTGGGAGGGAACTGGTGGGGGATAATTGAATCATGGGGGAGGTCTTTCCCATGCTGTTCTTGTGATATTAAGTCTCATGAGATCTGATGGTTATTATGAGGTGGGGGTTTTCCTGCACAAGCTCTCTTTTTGCCTGATGCCAACCAGGTAAGATGTGACTTGGTGTTCCTTGCCTTCTGCCATGATTGTGAAGCCTCCCCAGCCATGTGGAACTGTAAGTTCAATAAACATCTTTCTTTTGTAAATTGCCCAGTCTTGGGTATGTCTTTATCAGCAGCATGAAAACAGACTAATACAGCCATTATCTAGTTTGACTATATGGTTGCCTTTGATATATGGCCATGTGTTCCTTGTTTAAATAGTCTTGGATTCATATTATTACCTAGTTTTAACTAACTTAGGTTTTCTCCAACTTTTTTGTCTGATTATCTTAAAGTCCATTTGTCTCTCTAGTTTTTACAGTTTTTTTGAGGTTTCTGTGCCAATTTTTCTTGTATTTTTCTTTTACATGCTCTTTCTAGGCTATCTCATCTATTTCCAAGAGTGTAATTAATATCTACATGTTGATGATTCCCAAATCACTGTCAAGCACACAACTGTTGAGTTTTAGGCCAGATTTATTTGACATCTCCACTTTGATATTCCACGGAGAGTTCAAACTCTGTCTGAAGTAGGGGTCATGTTCTTTGTCTCCTGGTTTTTTTCTTTTCCATGATTCTTCTATCTCAGTTATGTAAACATCATTAACAAGCTTTTTAAGCCAGAAAACTGGACTTCTGGTTTTGCTTGACCTTTATTTTTCCTTCATCTTTAATTCATCAAATCCAATCATATGTTGAGTTTGGATTTATTTTCTAACTCTGAATTATCTTAAAAGTGTGTTCACTTCATTTTTGTGGAAACCACCCTAGTTTGGGACAACATCTTCTCTTGCTATTGGAGATCCAGTGCTTTTTGTTTCTTATTTATATTCCAGGTACAAGGTTAGTTGCAACTGCTTTCTCACTTATCATCCTATCTTTGAATTGTCCCCCTTCAATACAGACCATAGGCCAGAATGATGTTCTAAAATCCAAATCTCTTAATTTTTGCTTGCAAAATAAAGTCCACATTTCAGCGTGGCTGACAGTGTACTCGGGGTATGGTCCCTGTATCTCTCTTGAGTCTCATTTTTCATTATTATCAAATGCTAATTATCAAAATGCTCATGCTTTAATTTGGACTTGTGTTTTTGGTATACCTTCCTTTACTAGGCTTGATAGGAAGCTCATGGTTCATTGAAGGCAACAACAAAACCCAAACATAACTCAATCTTTGACAGGACTGACTCAACCTTTCACTCTGACAAGACAGAAAAAGAGACATTTCCAGGCATAGATATGATATACTTTAGTCTCTTTTATTCTATACTTTATGTCTGGCAATTGACAAAACATTATGAGACATGTAAAAAAATAGGGAAAAGCAACCCATTGTAAAGAGACAATGCAATAAACAGAATCAGACTCAAATGACCCACGTGTCAGAATTACTACACAGGAACTTTAGTGCTATGGGGCTATATATTAGTCCATATATACATTAGACCCTATATACTAGTGCTATGGGATTATATAAAGTGAACTAAAATACAGGTAAGTTGAGTTTAAGGAAGGAAAAAGAGATAATAGAGAAGAAGAAATATTTCAAGAGATAATGGTAGAGAATTTTCCAAAAATTAGTGAGAGATGTTCAATCACGAGTACAAGAAGTTTGAAAAACCCCAAGCTAAATAAATAAAAACACATACCTAGACTTATAGAGTCAAACTACTTATGATCAAAGTTAAAGAGTAAATCATGAAGGCAGAGAAATAAAGGGCACATTGCATTAATAAGAATTACAGCCAACTTCTCATCAGAAACTAAGCCAGAAAGCAATGGAGCACTTAATTCTGGTATTTAATGACAATGGAGTATTTAATCCCAACATCTTTACTTATATTGAAATTGTCTTCATGTTGGTCAGGGGAACCAATTACTGTTGGCTTATGTATACTTTAAATAATCTAAGTATCATCTGATAGATTCCATGCTTTTTGTTATTAAATGATGTTCCAGGCACATTTTGTCTATTTCCTGTTTCAACATTCGACAATCTGAGTGGAAAGAGTACTGATTTGATTGATAGTATACTGATGATAATTTCTATTTCCTTTTAGTAGCAGGACCAGAAAATATAGTTTTTTTAAAGACAAAGCATGCATTACAAAGTCATGCAGGTAATTTGAATTCAAATTAGAACAATAGGATTTTTGTTTAGCCTTATGTATCTTGTTTCTCTCTCTCTTTTATCCCATACAAATAATTCTGTACCTCAGCGACATCTACAGAATTATTTGCCTTAACCCACACTTTACATGCAAAATTGTAATAACAATACCAACACCAGCAACAAAAATATGATTGCTGAAAGTCAACATTGTCAAACCTCTTGAATTTCTATGCTTTCTTGGTACCAATAAGCCCCTTAAGATGAATTATGTCCTGGAATTTAAGTTAAATCAGAGTTTTTGTCTTATGGCACACAGTAAATGTGATGGCTTTGGCTGACAATATCTTCTGAAATGAAATTCCAACATCTATTCAATGTTGCTTTAATCTGTGGTAGATAATAATTCTTGACTGTATTAAGAAATAATGGAAGAGGTAAAATGCCTTTTAAAAGAATACCATCAGACTCTTGATGATGAATAATTCTGGGTATGGAAAATATATCTTCAAATGTATAACTAAATTGATTCCCTAAGGTTTGAGTTCAAAGAATTTACTTGAATCCTGCCAGTACCTTCATTGCATTTGCTAAGCTCCTTACAATAACTTTAGTTAGAGATGAAGCCCCAGTCTGGCTGTAGGATTCATAGGCAAAGCCTATTAGTGCCACATTACACTTTCATTAGACAACCTCTCCCTCAGTCACTTAGTAGAGTGGTTATGGTTGCAAGAATGGAGGTTGTATTACACTGCTAAGGATGCCATAACAAAATACCATGAACTGAGTGGCTTAAACAACAGAAATTAATTTTCTTATAGCTGTAGAGGACGGAATATAAGATGAGGATTTCAGCAGTATTGGTTTCTCTTGAGGCCTTTTTTCTTGGCTTGCAGATAGCACCTTCTTGTTGCATTCTCATTTGGCTTTTTCTCTGTGTGTACATGTTTGGTGTCTCTTCCTTTCCCTCTTCTTATAAGGACACCAGTCTTAGTGGATTAAGAACCCTCCCTTCTGACTTTATTTAATATTAATTACCTCTTTAAAGTCTCTATCTCCAAATATAGTTACATTGGCGTTAGGACTTTAACATCTGAATTTTGAGGGGAAACAAGTCAGTCCATAACAGAGGAATGTACAGACAAAACTTGGGGTCTTCCTCACCAAGGGTTATCTAGTTGCTTCTATACTGAGTGACCTACTTTATAGCAGCAGAGACCAATATTGAGCCTTAGATGTGGTACCACTTCTCATAAATCCCAAAGAGAACCCTTCACTTCACAGGAAGCAACATTTTATCTTTAGCAGACTCAACACATACTCCAATGCTTTTTGTAGCTCTACCATCCAAAGCTTACAGATAAACTTATCCATTGGCATATTATTCTATATAACATTTTCTTGGATTCCTAAGCAAGAATTCACTCTTCAAGCCAGTACTCCAATCCCTAGAGGCAAATTGTCCGAAATGATGATGAAATTATCCATTGAAGGTTCACCTAAGACTTTGACAGGTAGGGTGTCTGACCTCCAGGATGTGTTGTGGTTTATCTTTTGAACGAAGAACACAAATGGTATGCTCTTCCAAGGAAAAAAGGAGGTAAAAGAAGATAGCTTCAGATGAGAAATTAATCAAAGCAATATCCAAAGATGGCAGAAAATTATTGAAAATAAACCAAATAGAGGAAGATTCTTGAATTGTAATCTTTGAGTGAAGTTTTATACTAAAAGATGTCTTGACCAAAGTTCCTTCATCTACAATCAAACTTCTAAAACTTTCTCCATCATAGATGCTGTCTTTCCCTTCCCTGACTCTTGATATCCCCTCATTGCTGCCTATTTTTAAGCCTTTGGATTTAGCAGGACCGAAATGTGGGAATATATTTTAAGTTTATGATGTATGTTTAGCTTAGGCTGGGAAGTAATTATTTGAAAAGTACATGTTTTCTAAAAAAGGTGCAAGATACAAATAAAACATTTTATCATATAAAGCTTCTATCATCAAATAATACAGAACATCAGTCAACTTATCTCTAAATTGCCACTTGATAAAATGGTTCTACAGACTATATCCCTGAACATTATTGTCTAAGGGAATATTCTGAAGTGCCAGATATTTCATTATTTGAGTACATTTTTATAAAATGGAAATTTATTGATTGTGATCAAATGGAAATTTAAAAATAAGTTATTTAAAATATCAATTTACTTGATTTCTAAAACATATATATGTATCTACACACATACTGATCCATATATATAAATTCATATGTGTTATGTGTGTGTGTATATATATATGAAATTGCTAAACCTATTATGCAATACATTTTACTGAAATTATTGTAATATTTCTATAGATGTATTTTCATTTTTTAAAAAACTTCCCATGTGTATATGCCAGGTGTTCTAAAAGTAGTGTAACTATGTTTACAGAAATGGAGGAGAATGTACATTTGAATTTCTTTTAAAATAATTTGTCTTTATGTCACTGTGAGGTGTCAAATGTCAGGTGACTGAGGCTTCTGTAGCTTCACAGCATCACCGGTAAATACCTTTATGAGTATTCTTTATTTTTCCATGTGGATTTGAGTCACCATCTGGTTCATTTTAGCCTGAAGGACTCTCTTTAGTATTTCTGGTAGGGCAGATCTGCTAGCAACAAACTCAGTTTTTCTTTATCAGGAAATGTCTTAAGGCATGCCTTCAACACTCAGCAGGAATTTTATAATGTGCCTAGCCTGCATTTCCTGCTAGTGCACAGCCTCCAGCTTAACCACAGGTGAAAATTTAGGAGATTCTCAGGTCTTTTCCTGGGCATATGCAGAGCCCTCTGTGTGTGGCCTTTTAGATTTCCAGAAATATGTTGCAGCTTTTCAATCTCCCCCAAGGACATCTCATTCTCCAACTTTTCCTTTTAAATGTTATGACTACCCTATTGTTTGCCTCCTGTTCTCCACTACTTCTGGCATTCACAATGTTAAACAATTGTCTCTAATAATTGTTTTTCACAAATGTCCTCTCCTCCCATTCCAGGAAAAATCTATTTGCATTGAGTCAACTCTGAGTCAGTAAAAGTAAAGACAGCTTTTGCAAGTAGAATCTTCCAAAGAATTACCAAAGTGTTCAAATAATGACAATTATCTGAAATGGGGCTTTGAAGGAGCTCTGATCTGTTCTCTCTCCAATGACTAACATGCTACTGATCTCTGTGTGATGTGCAGCTGTTATCCTCAAGGCTGTCACTGAGCTGGCATGGGAGAATGAGAATAGGGCAAGTTAATAAAACACCACAAATCTCACAAAACACCTGAGATTTAGCAATTTTTCTTTAATAAACACTCTCAGGATTGCCTCAAGCCTCTGGTTAATTCCAGAGTCCTGAGCATGTTGATTTGAACAATTTTTACCAGTTTCCTCATCGCTTTGATGGAGGAGAGGATTTTTGGAGGGTTTTTTTACTCCATTATTTTCACTGATATCACCTATTCAGTCCCTCTTTGGTTCTCATTTGGGTCAAAGTGAGATGAAATATACTAAAAATATTAAAAAGGTGCCAGGTAGAAGCTGGGCAAAACTAGATGATGGGTTGATAGGTACAGCAAACCACCGTGGCACACGTATACCTATGTAACAAACCTGCACGTTCCGCACATGTATCCTAGAACTTAAATAAAATAAAACCCCAGAGATGGTTGTCAATTTTGTCCTTTAATATGTATGCAGATTGTACAGATTTTGGGGAACTCATTTTGGGGGGCTGCTGGTCATCAAATGGAAAACCTATTTTATGAATGTGTCATTCTTGAATTTAAACACATGAGCGTGGGGTGGATGAGGAGGGTAGTGTGATTGCAGGTGGCACTGCAAATGAGCTGGTGCATCTTAGCAAAAAAAGAGATGGATGCCAGGGCCAAGGATTTCCATTGGTTCAGATAAACTGCTAAGAAGAAAATCCAGATATAGAATAAGTGAGTTGAAGACAAGGAAGAGAGAAGGCTGAGAGAGGTGAGAGGAGGACAGACGGAAGAGGGAATAAACTAAATAAATGAAGAGAATTTGATGGCTCATTAAGAAGATCATAAGCATAGGAGGGAGATTCCTGGTGGAAAGGAACTAGTAGAATTGCTTGTATTTCTGGTTTCAGCTTCAAATGTACTCTTATTTCTCCTCCCAATTTAAATCGAACTTTTCCTCTCCCTTTAGAAGTGGCAGAGTAATCGTAGCAAAATGATTGTAAGCATATGGTGTGTGTTAATGTGATTGTTTGCCTCCTCATTATGGATTTAGTATGACCATTAACATCTAACTGCCTAATTTCCCAATCACCATTGAAAAATTAGAGCTGCATCATTGCCACCCTAGTACTCGCCATAATAATTTTGTCATTTCTAGAAGCATTTGATCTTCGCAAAATGATGCAGATCATTTGCTTTTGTATTATTTTGACTTTTGCCCTACATTGGCATGATTTATTTGTGAATTATGTTTCTGTATAAAATAAAAATTACACACTTAACCATCTTGTATCTAAAAACTAAATTGTAGTTATCTAATTTTTAGGATACCTTTTCCTTAGGAGGTTAACATTTATTTGCTCTTTTTATATCTTGGTCCATATCAAAGCTTAAAAAATTATTAACTACATGAATATAGTAAAATACCCAAATCTTCTCATGCTTTGTTAAATTGTTTTCATAAATGACTAAGAATAAATTCTTACTGTGTGCGCAGGTGTAATTCATTATTTAGTTGCAAGAAGTTCCTATGAAACTGAATGAAGGCTGGTTTGTTTCTTATTAAAGAAGGATGTGTGACCTAAGCAATTTGAACATTGTATAAAAACACATTAGGAAGTGCAAATATGTATACACATTCACACCCACATGGCTACATACAAGATCATATATTTACACACACACACACACACATATATACTATTTCTCTCTCATAGAGACACAAATACTTAGCACTCCACAAAACACACACACACTCACAGTTACCCACACAATCACGTCTATACAGTATTCCCATACTCATTCTCACAGGCATATGCAAATAAAGATAGTTATTTAAAATGTACAGTGAAATTTTCTACTTGGTTTGGAATATGGAGAATTGTTTTGTTTTTTTGACACTGCACTATTTTCACTGGTATTAAGGGGTAAACCTGCTGAGATATTTCTGCCTTTCAGCTGGATATGAATAAACAGAACTATTTATGCATTTCATTTGGAAATATATGGAATGCTTTTATTAGATTTCAACCCTTAATTTTCTCTTGAGGTATTTGATTAATCTTAAAAGCATCTGAGCCAGAAATGCACACATTAAGTTATCACTTTAATTCTTTCTTTAAAAATATGGTCAATTATAAATTTCCAAAAAAGAAAATAAATAGGCATCAGTTAAATATATCTCCCATTAGGATTGCAGCTAAATGCAGTGATTCTACCTGTTCTAAACTTTATGCCTAGTTTCTAATGCCTTTATTTCTACTGGTTCTTCTGATTTAGCAGGTTTTTATTTCATAAATATTCACCCCACACTTAATCTAGGCAAGTATACCACATATTCAAATTCTGTCTAGCCCAGGACAATTGGAAATAGCTGCATAGGTTGTCAGTTGGACAACTGTATGAGGTGGCTGTATGTATATCATCTTGTCTCTATCTTGAAGATGAAGATATGTAGCAATGTGTAGAAACAACACGAGCCTCGCCTTGCCTTTTTTTTTATTAAGGAGAGGTCTGAATGGGGCCAGAAAATTGTAGAGAGCAATGATGCTCTGATGAGCCTCCATACTTTGCCCCAGGCCATTGGCATTTTAGCTGAAGGAATATTCTGTGCATTTGTCATTTGGGAATTTTAGAACTTACACTTCAAGAAACCGTAGCCCTAATTCGTCAGTTTTCCTTTCCCCTAAATACGCCCTTAGAGATGAGAAAAGGGAAGCTCCCAGAGGAAAACAACTTGTTCTAAATCACACAAATAGTTTGTGTCAAAGCCAAGACTGTAATAATAGTCTTGATAATAATGTTGGTTCCTAATTCAGAGTGTCTTCTATATCCCTGAAGGATTTCTTTCTTCTTCTTCTTCTTCTTCTTCTTCTTCTTCTTCTTCTTCTTCTTCTTCTTCTTCTTCTTCTTCTTCTTCTTCTTCTTCTTCCTCCTCCTCCTCTTCCTCCTCCTCTTCCTCCTCCTCTTCCTCCTCCTCTTCCTCCTCCTCTTCCTCCTCCTCTTCTTCCTCTTCTTCCTCTTCCTCTTCTTCTTTTTTTTTTTTTTTGAGACGGAATCTTCCTCTGTCACTCAGGCTGGAGTGCAGTGGTGTGATCTCGGCTCACTGCAACCTCCGCCTCCAAGGTTTAAGCGATTCTCGTGCCTCAGCCTCCCGAGTAGCTGGGACTACAGGCATGCGCCACCACGCCCAGCTAATTTTTGTATTTTTAGTAGAGATAGGGTTTTACCATATTGGCCAGGCCCTGGTCTCAAACTCGTGACCTCGTGATCCACCCACCTTGGCCTCCCAAAGTGCTGAGATTACAGGCATGAGCCACCGTGTCCAGCCTCCCTTAAGGATTTCTAATCACCCATTACCTAAGTGATTACTTGCTGTTGCTTCTTTTCCACTATCTAAATCATGAATACCTGGACAGAATAAATTCCATCATGCACCTTCTGAAGAATATGCAGTTTCCTTCCCTCTAAATTCTTGTGTCATGTTTAGTGGCTTGTATCTGATGGTGAGTGATTTGTCAATACCATGGCCTGAAGGAATATGTACCAGCTCCTTATTTTTAATTATTGGTGACTTATCTCCATTGGAAATAGCCTTTGAAATATTGTCCAGAAGCTCTTCTGTTACCCAATTTTAAATGTGAAAGCTGAACATCATGGAAAAAGCTCTTCCAGTTTCAAGAGTATGCAAATGATAGTACTGACTCAAAATGAATGTGAGCTAAGAACTTGCTTGACACACTAAATGTAACTCACTCCAGAAGTATATACTCAGTATTGGAAGGAAGTATATACTCAATATTTTTTATGATTAGTATGAGTTTTTTTAAGTATCTTTATTGAATTAAGTTGGTTTGAGACTTTAAAGCAAAGGGGATATTTGAGCAGGTAGAGATGTCCAAAATGGAAATGTTGTCAACTCGTAGTTGACTGGAGTTCAACCAATTTAGTGGTACAGAGATTAATTAGCCTTGATTTGATCTATTGTTATATTTGCAGACTCTTTTTTTAATAGGTACAGAAGATGTCTGGTGGTTTAGAAGGTTTTTATGAAGATTTATATATATATAATATAATATATATAAATCTATATATATAAATATTATATATAAATCTATATATAAATCTATATATAAATATTATATATAAATCTATATATAAATATTATATATAAATATATATATAAATCTATATATATAAATATTATATATAAATCTATATTTATATATAATATATATTTTATAGATATATAAATCTCTATATAAATATTATATATAAATCTGTATCTATAAATCTATAAATATAATATATAAAAATTATATGTATTATATATATTAATCTTCATAAAAATCTTCTAAAGCACCAAAGATGGTTTATATTATATATATAATATATAATATATAAATCTTCATAAAAATCTTCTAAACCACCAAGTATTTTATATATATATATAATGTAAAGATAGATAATTATACTTATTATTCAGATAGAAGTTTTGTTTTTAATTTAATTTGTACAGGTAGCTGTTTTATACCTGTATTATTTTTCCTTCTATTTTTGCCTGGTATGTTGTAGGATGTGGCAGGGAGGTGGAAAATTCCTGAGATCAAACACTATTTCTAGGTAGCTGCTTCCTTTGCTGTGAATTTACTGTTAATCCTCTTAGTCATAATCTCTGCAATTGAACATATAGCTCCATTTTCCAAGTTGAAAATGCCAAATATCATTTCAAAGTGATTAAAAACCTGGTGATAAAAAAGTACCAATAACATTCTCATTTTATGACTATTTCTTTGGATGATTTCCTTAAGATGAAGGAGCAATAATAATGTGTGAGGCTTTAATATTAAGTATTTAGAGACTTTAATAATTTGAGATTAATATTTATAAAACGTTTATGGCAAGATAGTGAACATTTAATGAAAATGTCTCAAGTTACATTAGTAATATTAGATTGACCCATATAATAGTAAAATATAAATGCATTTTCCCAATGATTCTTGACAAGTTTGTATATGGAAATATGAGTGATGGGATGAATGTGGGCTTTGGAATTGTTCAGACTTATTAGTAATGGGAGCTTCAGAAAGTTAATTGTGCTCTGAAACCTCTTTTCTTATTTAGTAAATGACAATGGTAATTCCTGTCTTGCCTGCTTTTCTTAAAGAATTAATGATATATTGTGCAATAACCTAGCATAATGATTTGAAGGTAGTGATAGTAATAGTGATAATAGTAACAATAAGAGGATCACGATAAGGAATAAACTAAATAAAAGATGAAACAGCTAATAAGGACCTTGTTTTTTTCTTAATGTGTATTCTATTTCCAAAATCTCCAAGTATTTTATTTGTCATCTCTTAGTAAAACCGAGATGTTTAAGTGAGTGTTACTTTATATTCTGGGAATTAAGATGGGGCTGGAGATGAAGTTCAATTCACACAAAAGGCCTAATGAGTATTTCTCGGAACCTTTGTAAAAATTGCACAGTTAATAAGGTGGCTTAATTTCATTGCTAGCGGCACCAATGCATATTTCATTCATTTTAAGTGTTTCCTTTTTCGGAGCCAGAATGAAAATATAATAATTGCACAGGCCATGATTAACCAGCTGCTTAGCAATTCTCTCTCTTACTATTTTCTATCATATCTTTTTGCACGCAAAGGACAGCAAATAGATAATATGAGTTGAGGATACACATTGCATTATCATTTTGACGTAATTGCTCTCCCTTTAATGGAGAATGAGAGCTACCAGCAGTGTTTGCTACCTGTGTATTTTTAAAATCTGAAGATATTCAAAGGTCCTATCCACAGTACAGAAAGTTAGCCCTTTTCATGGAGATGTAGCTGGTTTCATCGAGCTGATTTTATAACTGTTTCTCTCTTGGCTTTAAGTCTGAAGCCTTTATTGAAGTAGGACCAATGGACATTTAGTGGAAATCTCTGCCTCCATGCACAGTTCCTTCCTCTCACAGTGAGAGCCTGTAAAGAGTGTCGCTCACAGAGCCTCACATCCACACTCTCCCCACTGTACCCACCATCAGCCAGCAACTGTCAGGCAGGGGATATTCTGGGAAGAGGGATTTAAAAAGAAAGCACAGGGCTGGCAGTCTTCACAGATTCTTGTGAAGAAGTATCTCTGACATTCAGGGTGCACAGTCACTCCTGCTCATGGCCAGCTGGGTAGAAAATTGCCCTGGACACCATGCATGTGACTGAGAGTGAGGCAAACTTTTAAATGAATAACTAGGGAGAGGAGGATTGCGTTAGTTTAATTTCCTACTTTTCAATTTCCTCAGATTGGTCCTTCCTGATGAATCCTGTCTAGTAGTTACCAGTGGCCCCCCTAATTGAGACCAGTAAGAGCCCAGCCAAATAAGCATTTAAGGTTCCTTTCCTGTACCTGAGAATCACATAGCTTAGATTGTCACCTCTCAGGTGGCAGAACCCTAAATGTTCAATGCTGTATCATCTGCTGGCAGTTTCTAGTATTCTCCTCAAGTTTCCTACTGCCCCTAACACCCCATCTTGTTCTTTGTCTGTGTCTCTCTTTCTTATACATACACACACACACACACACACACACATCAAAGAGGCATATGCCTATAAAATGACCATCCCTGCATTTTAATCCCATGATACTTGAATCTTTAGCCATGTCTCCAGTCCATGGGTTGATGTCGTTGGCATTTCCCAAGACCAGATCCTCTTCTCATTTCCCTCTACCGTGAACCACTCTCTGGTTAGTGATCAAGTTTGCTTTTGATGACTGCAACATCTTTGGTCTTTACACTTAAGATGATATAATAATTAACTAGCTAAGCTTTCATCTGGCACACTCTGATCAATTCATCTTGCTGTTTATGCTTCTGGGCTGGATTTGAGTTTTGTTGCAAACCCAACATTTATTGGGGCCATTAAAAATAATTCTTGTCTTTTCCCTTTCTTCGTCTCACATTTATAAAGTGAATGTACATCCTATACAATTGAGGTTTCTAAAGTCTGCCTGTAAGGTGGAACTGGAATATAGTAAAATATTCCTCTTGAATATTCCCACAAATCACTCATAAGATACATACTATGGACATGAATAACCTCAGTAAGACCAACAAAGCCAAACAGCTTTTTCTACAGCGTTGATCCAATCACTGTGTCTTCACTTGACTATCAGATGAACTTTTGCCTTGCGTTTTGGCTTTATCTTATATGAAAATGTACACATTTAACCCCAGAATCATACTTGTGCGCTGAGATATTCACAATACTGGAGACAGAAGGGTTGACTGATAAAAACAGCACATTCTGTTCCTAGGGTTGTACTTCCACTGTGGCATGTGTTCATTGATAGGAGTGGAAAGTCGATAGTCAGTACTCGCTCTCTGTTCTTTTCCTCAAGCACCTACACTTGGATTTGCATAAGTCAAATGTACAAATGACAACATGCTAGTGTTCCTTTGCGCAGCTCAAAACTTACCCTCAGTAATTCACATGGCTGACCACGGCATTGGGAACCAATGGTGATAACAGTGACCACTAACTGTGCAAAGTATGATGCTTAGTGTTTTATATTGTAATCCTATTTAATCTGCAAATCTGCTCTGTGAGTTCTGCCTTATTAGTCCCATTTCCCGGATATCTATGTGTGGATAAAGTTTTAAAGAACCTTTCAATCTTTAGGGAAAAAAGTAAGCAAGAGACATCACTCACCTACTTTGATCCCACTGTGCATGTGTGTTTCTGTATTTGTGTGTGTGCATATCGAATGCAAACTGGCTTACAGGATGTAACATTTTAAAGAGCTAAAAGTTGAGAGAGCAGTAACTTTTTATTATACTTACAATGAAATGATTGAAGATTGGAAGGTTGGTAATTTTTTTCCAAGTCATACAGCTAGTTGAACTGAATAGTTTGAGTCACATTGCTTCCTACTCTTTTTAGAAGAGTAACTTTTGTTTCTAACTTGTTTTTTATTGTCTATTTTCTAGTTTTCTAGCTTTCTTATGAGCTAGAACTTCGGTAATGTCATTGCAAACTGCAAGGTATTGTTACGCTACATGATTTTTTCAAGCAGCTGATTGGCTTCTGGGTTTTTTTCTTTTGAGACGGCCTTGTATTTGCTGTCTCGAGATTTCCATTACAGAGAATTACCAATTTTTCTAGTATAATACAATTTACTATTGCAAAAAAGGGGCCTATTTCTCTGTTGGGGCTCTTGATACAACTTTAAGGTGTTTCCATCAATTGAGGGCTTAGTCTTAAGTCGCCTGGATGGGTGTGGTAACACTTTGTGTTATCTATTGGTCAGTCAGAGGCTTAATAGGAAATTTATCTCATTTCCACTTACTATGATATATTGCTTCTTCTGCTTTTAATTTTTATAATGCTTTTTATAATTTTTTATAATTTTATAATGCTTTTAATTTTAATTTTAATAATGCTCAGTGTAATTTCTGTTTTGGTGCTTTCTTTGATATCTTATGCTATATGGTTTTTGTTGCCTTTGTTTTGTTCGCTCATTCATAAACATTTTTAAGGCTTGAGGAATATATTTTTAGATATTTTAGCGTTGACTGTTGTAAGTCAAATTATGATCAAACATACTCACATAATTATAACTCTATATCTTTATTTACTGATGTTTAACTTGAAAAAGAAGTTATGTATGGCTGGGCGCGGTGGCTCACGCCTGTAATCCCAGCACTTTGGGAGGCCGAGGTGGGCGGATCACGAGGTCAGGAGATGGAGACCATCCTGGCTAACACGGTGAAACCCAATCTGTACTAAAAATACAAAAAAATTAGCCAAGCGTGGTGGCGGGCCCCTGTAGTCCCAGCTGCTGAGGAGGCTGAGGCAGGAGAATGGCGTGAACCCAGGAGGCGGAGCTTGCAGTGAGCCGAGATCGCGCCACTGCACTCCAGCCTGGGTAACAGAGCCAGATTCCGTCTCAAAAAAAAAAAAAAAAAAAAAAAAAAAAAAGAACTTATGTAACATAAATGATATGATGGTCTCTAGTTTATCAGTTTTGTGAGTAGACATGCCAAGGTTTGGTAAGAGATGCTAGCCAAACTGCAGACTAGCAGCCAGCTCTCTACTGGAATACTCTACACCAACAGAGTTAATTTTCATGACCTCTTACCACACACTTTTCAAATTTTTCTGAATATGTTGATTGCTATTAGGTCCAGACTCAAAAGTAGACAGTTTTTAATTGAATTGATTTTCAAATAATAGATACTTTTCTAAATCTGGTCAGTAAACAACCTGTAAGCCAACAGCAAAATTTTATATAAAACATTGACCGTTATGTACTTGTAGTGATTGATTTACATTCTGATTCTTTAAGTACTTAAAAATGCATGTTTACTTGTTAAAATAGCCACCAGGGGGGCATTTAACACAATGCAGCAATAGTGTACTAAATATAATAAATGAGAATGTGCCAGGAAGACGTTGCTAATAGAATAGCACCACAATCAGCTTTGCAGATGTGGATTACATATTACAGTGAGCTTTATGAAAGCAACTGGATATAGAAAACTGAAACTGGCTATACATTCAAAGGTACACCTGTATGTATGTATGAGCGTATGTGTGTATATATATGTATATACATGTATATGCATATATATTTAGAGCAAGAGGGTACATGGATGTTTATAGAACTGTATAATTATATGTTAATAATATTAGTAAAGAGTTGCTCAAAAAGACTGTAATGTTAGGCCTGGTGCAGTGGCTCACGCCTGTAATCCCAGCACTTTGGGAGGCCGAGGCGGGCAGATCACGAGGTCAGGAGATGGAGACCATCCTGGCTAACGTGGTGAAACCCCGTCTCTACTAAAAGTACAAAAAATTAGCCAGGCGTAGTGGCGGGCGCCTGCAGTCCCAGCTACTCTGGAGGCTGAGGCAGGAGAATGGCGTGAACCCGGGCGGCGGAGCTTGCAGTCAGCCGAGATTGCGCCACTGCACTCCAGCCTGGGTGACACAGCCAGACTCCGTCTCAAAAAAAAAAGAAAAAAAAAAAAAAGACTGTAATGTTTGCATAATCGAGGCAACTTGTTCAAGAAAATGAGTCTCAACCATAGTCAGAGGAAACTTCCTGAAGTTTGAAGGAAAGTGTTGCAATCAAATTTTGACAGAAAGCATCTCACTCTCTTTTCAATTATGCAATTATGCCAATCACTTTCCCTTGAATAGAGTGATTAAGTATAGAGCATAGTTCTCTCTGACATAGAAAGTCTGTATGTGTGTGTGTGTGTCTGAGATCCTTGTATTTTAATTAATGACACAAATCTGCAAAGAAAAGGTAAATAATAATCCCTTGATACTTTCTCCTAATGTTTAATGCTTTGTCATGACGTGGCTCATTATAAGCCTTTGTTCTTTATGCCAGGCAGTAGTGGAACAATGATATTTTGTATTAGAGGACAACTGTTCTTTCTCCTACATCTTTCCATGATGCTATCACACGGCTTAGACCTTGTCCCTCAGCAGCTGATGGTCTGCCCTCTGAACCTAGCATCTATTCTGCAAAAGACATGATGTTTTTTTCCTGTGGACAAAAGTTCAGCCTTCAAGAAACTCACAGGAGAGACAAAAAAATTACAAAAAATATCTGTAATGATAAGCTAAATGGGGTTAAGTGAAACAATATTGAGAAAGCCCAAAAAAGAAATAAAAATTATACTGGGTCAGTAGAGAAAATCTTCATGGAATATTTGTGGTAAATCTTAAAGACGTGGTAAAATTTTATCCAAAGAGACACATAATGAATACGCAAGGAACTGAGACTACTAATGGGTGGAAACAGAAACAGCTGAGGGTAACTGCAAAGCGTTTGGTTTGGATGATGCCAAGGAGATGTGAAGAGGAGTTACGGGAGAATAAACTAGAAAATTAAGGCAGATCCATGTTGTTGACCTGGAACTAGTCTTTCTTAACTGGGGTTTCACAAAATAATTAAGCATTACATAAAATAAGTTGTGTGGTTATTTTCTTAACACTTCCGAAGTTGGTAACAACTATCAGCAATCTAGATGGATAGGAAGGAAGTTAATTTGTTACATACAATGAGTGTCCAGGGCATTTGGGTTTCATCGTCTCTGGGAACCCCAGTTGAGAAAGACTGGCCAAGACTCTAGATAATGACGAACTGTGGAAATATTTCAGTTAAAGTGTGACATATTGTGTTTGGGTTTTAGGAGAACTTAACAGCAACAGTATTTAGGAGAGTTTGAAGAATGTGAAATTAATGATTACTAGATCATTTAAACATGAAGGGTGATGACGGAAATGAAAATGGTAATCAAAAGAAGATGATGGATGCACAAGAATTACTAATTCACTCATTTAAAGCAAACATAGATTGGCTACCTACTGGATGTCAAATATTGTGGCTATTATGATAAGCAAAATAGACTTAGCCTTTAACCACTGAATGAGGCGTCAGGCATTAAGCAAAGAAGCGCAAATCCATGTAAATTCCCAACAGGGATAAATGCTATAAAAAGTTTCTTGTGCATATAACTCACATGACGTCCTCTACAGCCTGGTTTTATGTCCTGGAAGAAATGGATAACTATACCACACAATGAGGCTTTATTTGTATATGGTGAGTTTTGGATTTATTTTCTCATTAGTGGAAGACCAGCAGATATTTAAAATCAGGAACTAAGATTATGATAGCAATTTCCCTTTTTCTCTTCTTGATCATGGGATCTTTATTTCACTGATGGTGGGCTTACATTATAGTTACTACAAATTATAATCTTGTAGCCTCTGTCTGTCTAATGATCATTAAAAGCCATGGCTTTATTCTGCCATATTAATTCCTACTAAATAATGCTTTTATGAAAGTTGTAATGATTCTTCCATAAGGGTATAAACAAATATAAACAGGATTTTTTCTCCTTGTAGATTGTACATGCATAATTGCTGTATTTTATTGACACTGTCTACATCCTATGATTCACTATAATGAAGGCCCTACTCAGGCATGGGTGAATTTTCTTAAGTTGAAAAATGAGCAAAACTACAGCTGGAAACGAAATAAAAATAAGTGAATAGAAGCTAAAATGAAAGAAACATTTTTATTTTAATTTTTTTAACTTTTAAGTTCAGGGATACACATGCAGGTCTGTTACATAGGGAACCCCAACTGAGAAAGACTGGCCAAGACTCCAGATAATGAGGAACTTTGGAAAAGATTTAAGTTAAAGTGTGATGTATTATGTTTGGGTTTTAGGAGAACTTAACTGTAACGGGTTTGTTGTACAGATTATATCATTACCCAGGTATTAAGCCTGGTACCCTTTAGTTATTTTTCCTGATCCTTTCCCTCCTCCCACCCAGTGTCTGTTCTTCCCCTCTATGTTTCTACGAGTTTTCATAATTTAGCTCCCACTTATAAGTGAAAACATATGGTATTTGATTTTCTGTTCTTATGTTAGTTTGCTAAGGATAATGGCCTCTAGCTCCATCCGTGTCTCTGCAAAGGACATGATCTCATTCTTTTTTTATGACTGCATAGTATTCCATGGTGTATACGTACCATATTTTCTTTATCCAGTCTATCACTGATGGGCATTTAGGTTGATTCCATGTCTTGCTATTGTGAACAGTGTTGCAATAAACATAAGTGTGCATGTGTCAAAAGCTTAAATGGTTATTGTGAATCTGCTATTAAAGATGTCAGAAACGTTACTCATTCTTCAATCTATTTAGGTCCTAGGTGAGCATTTACATTAAAATTTAATACCAAGATAAGGGCCTCATTAAGAAGTTTCTGTTATTTCTCAGTTTTAAAAATTGAGATATCTATCATGACTTCTAAGAAGTTGAGGAATAATTTTGATAATAAAATATCATTACTTGCTTCCTTGGATTAGATGTCCACATTTTCTTCTCTTTGATCACACTGTATCCCTGCTCCATTCTGTTTGCTACTTCAAATACAGAACTTCTAAGTCATTATGATTAATTAGAGATTTCCTATTTCTTAGTATCAAGTTACTCGAGTCTCTGTATGATAGTCTGACACTGTGTGGACTAACCAAAGATGATAGATAGCCTTGCTTTGTCTTCACTAAGCAGACTATAGCATGAACAAGCTTTACAAAAATGAAATTCATTAGAAAGAACAATAAACATTCCCATCTCATACTTGCTGTTCATATTTTCTATTAAGGTATGAATGTCTTCTGGGAAGGATCAGCAAAGGAGGAATTTTTGAAAATATAAAAGTAAATGTGAAAATAAAACTGAAAATGTGTAGGTAGATCTAATCTTGATATGGGAAATAAGCCATAAGTTTAGCTTTCATGGTTGTAAATGTTGTAAAATAAACGCCCACAAAAGTCTAGACTAACAAGAAGGGATTTAGAAAAACAAATGGCTGCACTGCTTTTAGTAAATCACATTGAAAATGATAAAACTGCTGAAGAAAACGTAAACAGAAATCTGTAAAACTTTAACATTTATATGGGACTATGAGATTTAATTGAGTCCCAATACATGAAAGCTGTGTTATCCAATATGACAGCCACTAGCCATTTGTATTTAGTTCTTGTTGAGAACTGATGATCTTCTCCTGAGACTAATCTTCTGAGATAGGAGCACTGTCTTATATCCCTCTTGCTCATATACCCCACTCTCTGCCTGAGCTCTCTCCCTGACTAGCTGCTAGCAGAGTGCAAGGAATAGAATCAGAATCTCAGGAAGGGAAATTCCCTCAGGCTTTTACATCATTTGGTCCCATACTTTCTGTTAAAGCAAAGCACATGTTTTTAGAATCACTCACTTCATCCTTATGCAAATGTTAAAATTTTCCTTTTACTAACTTAGAAGGAGATTGGTAACAACAGTAGCCTCAGCTTTACCCTAATTCTCCAGAGGCATCGTGGAACATGTCTGATCTTTCTTCTATCCAACATTTCTGTAAATATTTAATGCAAATATAGTGAAACCAGGTAGTGGGTCATCTATTTTTAGTTGTAGATGGGGAGACATTATCAGACAGTGCCACTATACATGACCTATTCCTGCCTATTTTTAATGCATGTATGTAACCATAAGGTTAATGCATATGTGCAACCAACAAGGTTATTACTGTTATTTTCCAAGTTGAGCAGTTGACAGAGGAGCTTTTCACGATGGTTATAGGGCCTAACCTTATCCGGCTTCAGATTTGACTATAAAGTTGTTGTTCTTCACTATTCTACACTTGTTTCTATAAATTGCAAGCACATGAAATATTAACTATCTTATTCTGGGTAAGTTGTAGTATTATTTAAACAGTTTACCCTTCTGAAATGATGGATTTTTGGGTAGTGGAAATAACCACGATGACACCCCCCTGCAAATTATAGTGTTGGGGAAATTGTTTTAAATCAAGATTAAGAGGCAAGAAGCCGCATCTAGCATGGGACAGAGTGAGATGCTGGCTTGCCAGCATTTAAGAAAGGAAGTACCATGCAGACCTAGCACATTACTCGGATCCTCAGTTGAGTCTAAAAAGCATTTAATTCTAAAGTTTCTTATGACCATATATTAATGTGATTCGAGGACCATGAGCTAATAAACTAATGATAGAGATTAGTGCATATCAAATTTATATATGTGATATATACAAAATATCAAATATATACTATACATGATATACACAATGTATTTAATATGTTTGTCAAAGAAAACCATACAAATTTATAGTTATAAATTAAAAATGTATAAATGTTCAAAATAAACTTAATATCACCTTCTTAATACACTCCCCATAACCTTTTAACAATTTGAGGCATATTTGTCCAAACCCTTCTCTGTGCTTACACATCAATCTAGAAATTTTAGACTTTAAACTTTTTCATTGAAAAATAACAGAATGAAAGCAAAGAAAAGAATATTCCAAAGTGTGTGATAACCCACTCCAATAATAGGTGTGTTTTAAATTTATGAAAATTATTCAATTATTTTGCAAAAAAATTGTTGCAATTCATACTTTTGAAACAATGGTGGACGTGCCATTTATTTTTCCCCAAAATTCTCTCCCAAACAATGGTGGACATGCCCTTTTTCCCCTCAAATTCCCTCCATCTCAAGATGCTATACATTTTTTAAACTTGGCTAATCTGATGAGTGAAAAATTATATTTTACTCATGATACATAATCTGGATGCCTAGTGATGCCGAAAATCTTACTGTGTTCAACAGCCATTTGTGTGTCCTTAGCTTGTTTGCTAATAACATTTACTGAATTTTCTATTGGTTTGTTTGATTTGCTCTTATTAACTTAAAGAACTCTATGCATATTAGCAGTATTGGCCTCTTGTTTGTCATACTCTAAATGCTTTTCCAGTCTATTGGTTAGCCTTTGTTGTTGTTTATGAAGATTTTGGCAAACCATTATTTTATGTGATAAAACAGGGTTATTTTAAGAAGTTCCTCTCAGTATGTTGTATTTTTTTCTCCAGAAATATTTTCACAATTTTTACCATGAAATTTATCTGTATACTTTGTATGAGTTAGGGATTAAATTTTTCTTCAATGTCATTAGCAAAAAAAATGCCAGCTTTAGATGGTGAATTGGAGTGAGATCATTTTAAAGGTAAAAGTTTAATTAATGCTCCGTTCTCTTCTATAACTATGTGTCTGCTGAGATCATTTATCTCCTGGACGAAATTTCACAGTGGTCTTCACAATTTCTATTGGTGTCTCATACCTGCTCTTACATTTTGAATTCCTTCTGAGATTTTATGTTTTTCCATGAACCTAACTTTATATATATTCAATTTATCTCTTGTTTGTTAAGTCACACGACAATTACCTATGTTTTATTATTATTATTTTGAGATGGAGTCTCGCCCTTTTGTCCAGGCTGGAGTGCAGTGGCATGACCTTGGCTCACTGCAACCTCCGCCTCCCGGGTTCAAGTGATTCTCCTGTCTCAGCCTCCCGAGTAGGTGGGACTACAGGTGAGTGCCACCATGCCCAGCTAATTTTTGTATTTTTAGTAGAGACAGGATTTCGCCATGTTGGCCGGGCTGGTCTCGAACTCCTGACCTCAAGTGATCTGCCGACCTCGGTCTCCCAAAGTGTTGCGATTACACGCATGAGCCACTGCGCCCGGCCACCTATGCTTTCCTTAAAGCAAGTCTTGGTTGTATATCCTTTTAACTGTGTATCTTGGCATGCCAGTCTCTTCCGCAGAAGCAAATTAGCAGGTGATGGAAGGCTTGGCAGTTCTGTGGGCTTACAGAAAATGAACATGAAGACTCATTCTTCTGCTATAGTTTAGGGAGGAAATCTCTCTGCTCTTTTTATCCAAGGGATCAACTGCCATGTCCCAGATGTAGGCCTTGACCATATGTGCTACTTCCTTTCACCTGGGCCCATTAGTAGGGTTTACACAAGCTGCTCTAAAGATCACAAGAAGCAGACAGACATGTGCTGCCCATACTCCAGAGACACCAAAACTGCACCCACTTTGGACTCTTCATGAGCAGCTCCCCAAGATCGAGGAGAGACAAACCTTATCTTTTACTTCAGGTCCCTTGGAGAAGAAAGCCCTGACTTGATTTCCTTCCCTGACATCCCAGCAGGACTTATGGCTTCTGTATACCTTCAATGGTCCACCAACAGCATTCTTGTCTCTGTCAATCACCTACTCCAGAGACGGTGTTGGGAATGAGAGTAGGGCAGTGATAAGTGATCAGTGTGCCATAATTCCAAAAGCCCACAAAAGTGACTTCGATATTAAGACATAGCTTAGAAAGATAAATCTTTTGTGTTTGTGTTAAAAATTTTAAAATCTCTAATACACATTAGAATCAAATGCAAACAAATTTTGAGTGTTTGCTTCTTACAAGTGTGGTATAATATGAATTGGGAGAAGAAAAAGAACATACTTCTGCAAGAAATTTTAGAATTTGAAGGCTGATCCACTTGGATTTCAATTGCTTAATAAGCTAAATCATGTTTTGCTCTCCTGCTATGTGTCTAATCATAATCATATGAGTATTTTCCTCTACTTCTGTGTGCTGATTGTTTGTATGCAGCATCTCTCCATCTGAGGCAGTGGCAGGAGCCCTGGGCTCCCCCTGTTTTTCATCACCCTTTTGCAGAAATGCTTCTCACTTTTCCTGAGCAATGCTGCTGTGGTCTAAACTGTCATTTCCCCAGCACCATCTGTAGACTGATATTTTGTAAGGATTTGTATGGATTCCAAGTAAGAATCCAGCTCAATAGGCCAGCATAATTAGTTTTTAAGATTAAAAAAAAAAGTAATTGATCAATTCCTATTCTAGTCCACCCTCTATTTCCCTCCACTTCTTATTTCACCCTCACATGAAGATATACTTACAGCTTTGAAACAGAATCAAATTTCTGGGCTGCACAATTAAATTTCAGTCAAAATTTTCACTTACTAGAATGCTCACAATACTAATAGTGTTGTTAGAAATAAGACACTTGATTAAAAGGCGGTGCACTTGTCTATATCTTTAATGTGCATTCCTAATGAGTCTTAGCAGGAGGCTGATTCACATGAAAATGCACAATTAGCTCATCCAAGTTTAATACACCATTATCTGCATCCAGGCCCTCTCTTCATTACCATTTGAATGCACTGTTTTCTTTGGAGTTTTGTGTAGGAAGCAAATCCCTATATATGGCACACAGCTCTAGACTGATTTGTCTGCATTTGCCCTTTAGACAAAAGGCCAAAACAACATGCTCTTTGGTGCATTAATTTTCAATCTCTTGCTATTTTTGAAATTGTAATGCAGCACATTTCCTTTTCCAAGGGACTTCAGTCAGTATACAGCGTGGAAGTGGATATCGCCAAGGGATTTGTTTGTTATGGGGCTGCTTTAAAGAGCTGTTGAAATCCAGTGAAATAAAATAGGACTTAAGTCTAATGTCACTACTATATAGAGTCCCGTACCATCTTGACTTTGG
This sequence comes from Homo sapiens, assembly GCF_000001405.40. Taxonomy (NCBI): domain Eukaryota; kingdom Metazoa; phylum Chordata; class Mammalia; order Primates; family Hominidae; genus Homo; species Homo sapiens. Next base: position 54,196 of record NW_012132921.1, read on the forward strand.
AATCTAAGACAATTCATTGCCTGAAATAAAAACTGAGAAAACAAGAGTTTTATTTATTTCCTATCAGTGTTGTCATTTGGCTTTTCATTAATCTTCAGTGCTTTTAGCATATCACACGCCTACAGTTCTATAAGTTACCTCGATATGCAGAATACCATTTAATACGGAGCAAATTGAATCACTAACAGATTAAAAATACTATTTAAAAAAATCCCTTCTTCTATCCTCATTTTCAAGGATCATTTATATTTAGCCCTTCAGAGACTTAAACAATTGTACAAAGAGAAAAAGCCTTTCTTAGGACATGAGTTTCTACTTCTGAATAATGAATCATATAGTATATTTCACTAAGCATGAAGTCATTTTAGAGAAACCCATTTGGTGATAGTTTACAGATTTATACAGTAAAAAAAACAGAGGTGACATACCTGAGGTGCAGAAATTGTCAAAATTCTTATTTGCCCATAAGGTAATATTGAGAGTAATTTGCTAAGCCTAAGAAGAAAAAGGTTCATTGGAGGGCACATGACATATTAGAACCTGCGTGAGGTATTTATACCCTCTACAACTTTCTAACTTTGTTTATCAAGCACTTTTCTTAATCTCTGAGTCTCAGAATTCCTCTTTCTTTTTCCAGGCAGTATCTGGAAAAATGGCATAATAACAACCTTTGTGCACCATTGTTGTGAGGAGGAAAGAAAAAATTAGAAAGTATCTAATATCATCCATGTCCCAACAAAGGACATGAACTCATCCTTTTTTATGGCTGCATAGTATTCCATGGTGTATATGTGCCACATTTTCTTAATCCAGTCTATGAAGGGGCACATCACGCACTGGGGCCTGTTGTGGGGTGGGGGGAGGGGGGAAGGATAGCATTAGGAGATATACCTCATGTAAATGATGAGCTAATGGGTGCAGCACACCAACATGGCACATGTATACATATGTAACAAACCTGCGCATTGTGCACATGTACCCTAGAACTTAAAGTATAATAAAAAAAAAGTAGTAATATACAAATTCGTCAAGGTTACAGGATACAAGATCAATAAAAACTGTGTTTTTATGTGCTAGCAATGGATTATCTGAATGAGAAATTAGGAAAACAATTCCATTTCCAATAGTATCAAAAATAAATACTTACGAATACATTTTAAACATGAATTGCAAGACTTGTACACTAAAAACTGTAAGATATTGGTGAAAGAAATTAAAGGCAACCCAAATAAATGAAAAGTTATTCCATGTTCATGATTCATAAGTTTTAATGTTATTGAGATGGTAATACACTTCAAATTGATCTGCAGATTCATCACAATGTTTATCAGAATCCCAGCTGATTTTTTTTTTTGTAGAAACTATCTCATCCCCACATTTATATGGAAATGTAAGGCAGTACAGATAACCAAAACAATCTTGAAAAGGAAAAATAAAGTTAGAGGACTCATACTTCCCTATTTCAAAATTTACTACAATGCTACAGAAATCAAGTCACTTTGGTGCTGGCAGGCATAAACATATAAATTAATGTAATAGAATCAAAAGCCCAGAAATAAACGCATACATTTATGGTCAATTGATTTTTCACTAAGAAGCCAAGCAAATTCAATGGGAAAAAGAATAGTTGTTTCACAAATGATGCTGGAACAACTGGGTATCCACATGATGCAAAAGAATAAATTTGGACCCCTACCACCACATGCAAAAACTAAATAAATATGGGACCCAGACCTAACTATGAGAGCTCATGCTCTCATACAGAGTTAACAAAACCCACAAAACGAAACAGGAAGAAATCTTCATGATCTTGGGTTAGGCAATAATTTCTAAGCTATGACACCAAAAATACAAGCAATAAAAGAGAAGATTAGGCCGGGCGTGGTGGCTCATGTCTGTAATCCCAGCACTTTGGGAGGCAGAGGCAGGCGGATCATGGGGTCAGGAGTTCGAGACCAGCCTGACCAACATGGTGAAACCCCGTCTCTACTAAAAATACAAAAATTAGCTGGGTGTAGTGGCATGCGACTATAATCTCAGCTACTCAGGAGGCTGAGGCAGGAGAATCACTTGAACCCAGGAGGCGGAGGTTGCAGTGAACCGAGATTGTGCCATTGCACTCCAGTCTGGGTGATGGAGTGAGACTCCATCTCAAAAAAATTAATTAGTTGAACTTCATTAAAATTAAAAATTTAGTGCTTCAAAGGACACTATCAAGAAAGATGACCCAAAGAATGGGAGAAAATATTTGTAAATCATGTATCTAGGAAGAGAATCATATCTGGAATATATAAATAGTTTTTAAAATTATTTTTATTTTGAGACAGAGTGTTGCTCTGTCACCCAGGCTGGAGTGCAGTGGCATGATCTTAGCTCACCACAACCTCCGTCTCCTGGATTCAAGCAATTTTCCTGCCTCAGCCTCTCAAGTAGCTGGGATTACAGGTGCCCGCCACCATGTCCAGCTAATTTTTGTATTTTTAGTAGAGACGGGTTTTCACTATCTTGGCCAGGCTGCTTTGGAACTCTTGATGTCAGGTGATCTGCCTGCCTCAGCCTCCCAAAGTGCTGGGATTACAGGCATGCGCCACCGTACCTGGCCTAAATAGCTTTTAATATAAAATATAAAAAGACAACCCAATTACAAAATGGACAATGGATTTAAACAGATATTTCTGCAAAGAAGATATATACAAATTAACAAAATATATGAAAAAATGCTCAACATTATTAATCATTAGAGAAATGCAGATCGAAACCACAATGACAATCTGCAGAATGGCTATGCCAAAAAGGCAGGCAATAAGAAGTGTTGGAGAGAATGTGGAGAAATTGGAACCCTCATACATTGCCGATGGGAATGTGGAATGGTGCAGCCCATTTGGCAGTTCCTCAAAATAGTATTTTACAGAGCAATTCCACTTCTAGGTATCTACTTGAAAGAAATGAAAATATATGTCCACACATAAACTTGCACCCTATAACCAAAAAATGGAAAAAATCCATCCATCAAATGTTGGATAAACTAAACGTGGTATATCCAGATGATAAAATATTAAGCAGCATCACAAAGAATGAAGGACTGATGCATGCTACAACCTGGATAAAGCTTGAAAACATTTTACTAAATGAAAGAAGCCTGTCACAAAAGAATACATATTGTATCATCCCATCATCTTAGTTTAGTTTCTGTTGCTAATAACAGAACACCTGAAACTGACATTAAAGCAAACTAAATATGGCCTGAGAAGGATTCTGTACCTCTACATTGAAGTCCTTGTGGACAAACTGTAACCTAAGTTAGAGTGTTTTATAAGAGAGCAAAAATGAGTCTGTGGCCCAGTCAGCGAGGAAATAAGTTGTACAAGATGGTATTGACAAGGACGGCAGGGCCAGAAGATATAAGGTCTTATAGGATTATACTCCTAGTGCTGTGGGAAGTCATGAAGAGGCAGAAGTCAGACAAGAGGAGCTTATGTATGTATTTATTTATTCTGTGTGGCTAGAATCCATTATTCTGTGTGGCTAGAACCAACTTTATTACCAAGAAGGTTTAATAGAATATATATTTTTAAAAAGTTTTATTTTTGGTTCAGAGGCACATGTGAAGGTTTGAACATAAGTGAACTTGTGTCATGGGAGACTGTTGTACAGATTATTTCATAACCCAGGTATTAAGCCCAGTACCCAGTAATTACCTTTTTTGCTCCTCTTCATCCTCCCACCCTCCACTCTCAAGTGGACCCCAGTGTCTGTCGTTCGCTTCTCATTCTAACGTAAAGACACATACACTCAAATGTTCACTGCAGCACTATTCACAATAGCAAAGACATGGAATCAACCTACATGTCCATCAATGACAGATTAGATAAAGAAAATGTGGTACATATACACTGTGGAATACTGTGCAGCCGTAAAAAAAGAACGAGGTCTTTTTTTTTGTTTTGTTTTGCAGGAACCCAGATGGAGCTGGAGGCTATGATCCTTAGCAAATTAATGCAGGAACAGAAAACCAAATACCACATGTTCTCACTTACAAGTGGGAGCTAAATGAAGAGGAGCTTATTGCTGTTGAGATTTTAAGGGATCTGAATCACAGGAACCCTCTTTCCTACTCATATTCTGAGCAGACTCAAAAATAAGGAAAAATAAATCTACACACGGAGGCTAAGATACTGCTTTTATTTTTGATAAATTGATATTGGTGTTGAAGCTTACATTGATAACTAAGTCAGTTCCTTAATGCAAAATTCCAAACTTAGGTATAGAAGTCTATCCAACCACAGAAACCCTGGACCTCTGAAGGGCTCCCCATGGGCCAGGGTCCTTACTAATCATTCAATAAAGTAGTAAGAAATTTGAATAAAGGGTTTGTTTATGAGTGAGATGCAGATATGGGGCCAGAAAAACTATACAAAGAGGTGGATTACCATGAGGGATATCACATACTGCTATGAAAAACAACATTGTCTTCTGGTCTCAAATAGTTTTGACTGAGGTCTCACATAAAAGGATATTTTTCTAATTTATTTTGCAATTAATAAAACTAGTGATCTCAGAACACAAAAAGAAAGGTGACGAGACTGAAAATGTTCTATGAATTTATAAATATATGGCATCAATAATTTATATATATATGATATCAAGATCTTTAAAGTAATTTTTAATCTCAACCAGAATTTGTTGCTAAATATGAATACAACTTTTTGTGTTGGGCGCAACTCTAGCTATAGGTTCAATAGTGACATCGTTAGGTTGCCCTGGGGTCCTGATCAGAAACCATTAGTAGGGTCAGAGTATTGAGGGGAAATGCAGGGAGAGGAAAATTGACCATAAGGATCTCCACTGAGCAAAGAGAACTTTGAAACATTTCACGGATGTATAGTATAGGTTTCTTCCTAGTGTAAGGAAAAATTTGGAAATGAAACTGAATGTAGCAAAAGCAAGGAAAAAAGACAATAAAATTCAAGAATAGGTAAAGAAAAGTGGATGAAAGAACTTCTGTTTATATTTCTTAGAATTCTCATAAATGAGATTTGCTAATACATTTCAATATGGTGATTATTATGCAAAAAGGAGTGAGAGATTGAAGGATTGAGTGTGCTGGCAGAAAGTACTTTAATAAATTACGCTTGACTATATAGCATGTAATGCCCTTTTGAATGAAAAGATACAGTTCAGGTCTGGTAGCATTTAGGGTAGTGGCTAACTTCATGTAGTTAGCAATGTAGAAGCATTTAGACAGCATCACAGACCCGTTGATGGTTCCTTTCAAAAAACAGACTTCAATGAAATAGAAACACATTTAGATAGACCTGAACTTCTAAATGTGTGATGTGGTGGGTTTCCATACACCCTAGAGGGTATAGTTTAAGACAAGCAACTGCATTTGTCTGATTAAAATTTGGACCTGTAAGTAAAAATTATAAAACAAAGTGGGAGATTTTAAAAAGATATAATCATGGAAAGCTTTACCACCAGGTTAAAGAAAAGTGGAGTAAATTTCTTAGGGATAGGGGAAAATAATTCTACCCCTAGTTAAATATAGGAAGAGAAACAGCAGCTTTTTGGAAATGTTTGAAGGTAGATGTCTGACAAGATGATCTCTCAAAGTCTTTCTTTCAAAGCCCAATGATTTTATGAAATGTGGTCAGAAAAGAGCATAAGTTTCTTTGTCGCAGCTGCAAAGCTGAAGCCCTCAGAATTGGCTGAGTAAATAGCAGTCATTTATTGCAAAAATATCAATCACTGGGCGAAATTATTCATTTTTGTATAATATGAGGCAGCTCCACAGTGTCCCAAGACACATTTATCTTCAGTAAATCACAGAGAATGAGACTAATTATTCTCACTTATCTTCCCACTTTTCTAAACAAATGACAAAACAGAATTGCAAACTTGTCAGAATGTAATGATCAAGGTTGCACCTTCAGCAAGAAGTGGAAAGCCAGTTTTACACTAAAAAATGTCACGATAGAGAGCTACTTTTTGTTAGGATGTGCAACAGTGGGAAATACTTTCTATTTTCTTCTAATACCAGGAAAACCTTGGGCAAACTGAAAATTAGCCTCCCTTTCCCCTAAAATATCATTTTGGAGTATTGGCTTAAAAATATACAAATACCTCCAACAATGATAGACTGGATTAAGAAAATGTGGCACATATACACCATAGAATACTATGCAGCCATAAAAAAGGATGAGTTCATGTCCTTTGTAGGGACATGGATGAAGCTGGAAACCATCATTCTCAGCAAACTATTGCAAAGACAAAAAACCAAACACCGCATGTTCTCACTCATAGGTGGGAATTGAAAAATGAGAACACATGGAAACAGGAAGGGGAACATCACACACCGGGGCCTGTTGTGGGGTGGGATAGCATTAGGAGATATACGTAATGTTAAATGATGAGTTAATGGGTGCAGTACACCAACATGGCACATGTGTATACATATGTAACAAACCTGCACGTTGTGCACATGTGCCCTAAAACTTAAAGTATAAAAAAAAATACAAATACATTCCAGAGAAAGATAAGTGCCTCATAGTTGTGCAAAGATAAGAGGTTGCTTCCATATCTTGTACCAATTACCTAGTCTTGGTATGAGTGGGTAAAGAAGGGAGGCTGCCACAGGAGGAGAGAATTTTGCTGGATGAGAGATTTTAGTATTGATCACATGAAGTTAAACATATAGCATCAAATCAATTCCTCCAAAAAGAAATGAAGGGGAAAAATAATGAGCAGAAATTAATAATAAAAGTCAAACATAGCATGGAGAGAACGAACACCACCAATAGTTGATTCTTTGACAAGAATAATAAAATGGATAAATTCTTGGCAACACAGTTTAAGAGAACATGAGCTAAAATGTATTACTAGCTATTAAGAAACTAATAAGGATCATAACAATGTACTCTGTTCATTTCAGAGGTGACTAAGAGGGCATTATTATTGAACACTTAGGTTCAGTGGACACTTGCCCATACAAATGCAACTTACCAAATTGACACAAGAAGAACTAGAATACATGAATAGTGCCTTATCTAATAAAGGCCTTTAATGCAAAATTTAAAAAATAATACAGGATCATAAGGTTTTTAACATTTGAATATTAGTTTAATTATCCACATTGTCAGATTATGAGAAAAAATAATATGATTATCTGGGTAAATGCTTGATAAAATGTGATAGTCACAAAACATAGAAACATTTTTGAAGTGAAGTAGATTTTTCTTTATTTGATAAAGTAGATCTACAAAAAAACTGTTACAAACACAATTTATAGTACTGTATTTAACATTTGCTCCACAAGATTGGGAATAGCACAAGGATTCTTGGTGTTGTCATTTCTATTCTATATTGTACTGGATAGTCTCAGCCAGTGCAATAACTCAAGAGAAAGAAATAAAAGGCATACAAATGAGAAAGAAGTAAAATTGTTATTATTCACAGGTAATATGATTGGGTATGTTGAAAACCCAAACTTATATATAGATAGATTATTAGAAATTTTAAGTAAATTTGGCACGGTTCCTGGATAAAATGTCAATTTAAAAAATTGTGTTTATATCAGTAGCAATGAATTAGTAAATAAAAATCTAAAAATATTGATAATAAAAGAAAAACACATCAAGTACCAGAATAAATCTAGTAAAGCATACATAAGACATCTAAATGAAAATTATAAAACATTTATAAAAGCAATTATAGAATGCCAAAATGAATGATGGACTATATCATGACAAGGGATTGGAAGAGTCCATATTGTAAAACGGTATTTTCTAAAAATTAATTTGAGATGTATAGATTTAATCAACTTACCCTCAACATTATTGGTAGAATTGGACAGGTTGATTTTAAAATTTAGCCAGAATTGCAAAGGACTGTGAATAGTCAGGAGAGTTTTGAAGAACAAAGTTGGAGGAGTTACTCTAATCAAATGACAATAGTATTGATAATGGTGCTCTAATTCAATGTGGTATTGGTGCAAGTATAGACAACTACATTACTGGAATAGAGTCCAAAAATGAACCTACACTTATGTGGATAATAGATTAATGACAAAGCTTGCACTTTGCAGTGACAAAGTCTTTTCCAAAGATGACATTGGGTTGATTGGATGCCCAAATGGATAAAAGTTGATCTTTATGACACATCATGATCCAAAATCAATTTCAGAGGGATCATGGGTCTTAATATGAAAGTGCAAACAATAATGTCTTTAGAATAGATTACATGGAAATATCTTTTTGAACCTGGATAGAAAAATTTTCTATATACTGACACAGAAACACCAACTATAAAGAAAATGAATTATACATTGAGTACATTAAAACAGAGTGTTTAGCCAATAATACCATTAAAAATAGTGAATATCAAGTCATACAGTGGGCAGAGGTATTTATAACACATATAATCTTAAAAGATTCATATCTGGAATATAAAGGATTCCTACAAATCAATAAAAACATAATGCAATAAGAAAAAAATGGGTACAAGACTTGAACAAGCACTTCCAATGAAAAGACATCTCAATAACCATTAATATAAGGAAAGGTCTTGGACTCATTAGTCATCAGAGAAATTCAAATTAAAATCATATGCAATACCCACCCTAATAACTAAAATGAAAATATGGATAATACCAAATAAGATGATGTGGATAAATTTAAACTCTACTTTTGATGGGAGTGAAATAGATTTGAAAAAGCATTTAGCCTTTTCTACTAAATTTGAACATATGTGTACCCAATTACCTAAGAATTTCACTAGTGGTTAGACAGTCAACCAAAATGTTTATATATATGTCAAACACACATGCACACACATGTTTAAGAGCACATTACCTGAATAGCCCAAACTGGAAACAACCCGTACATCCATCAACTGTAAAATTGACAGAAAAAAACATTGTGGTATATTCATATCTTCTAATACTGCATAAATGGAAAGGGATGAGCTATAGTTATATGCAACAAGATGTGTAAATATTACAAACAAAATGCTAAAGAAGTTTACCTTGTTATTAGTTTGTTATTAATTTGCCTTATTATTCCTTTTGGCAGGTGGTTTAGAAAGTCTTTGTTCAGATACCATTAGCATTATCGGCCCAGAGGGGGCTGTGTTCTCTGTGCTGTTTCTATATCACCATGTAATTTGGGGGATTTATATTTTACCTTAAAAATTTATTTACCAATTCCTATTTTGAAGAGCATGAATTTGCAGTTATGTAAATAATTTTAGAAGTGACATCAAAATGTATTTGTAGGAGAGCTATTAGTACTTTTGAGGCAAATATTTATATTTTATAATCTAGTGTTTGTACTTTCTTATCTGAGCTGCATCATTGTTAGATGAAACATGAGGAGATGGCCAAAGATTCAGAGAACAATTGTTTTCACAATTATGTTTTATTTAATGAGGATAAAGATTTCTTTAGCTCATCAGATCATCTTTGGTGACAGAACCAGGATAAATGGCTGAAGAAATAGTTTATAAACAGACCTTGAAACGGAATATGTTTCTCACCCAGAAAAACCACATGATATTAGTTGTATATCCTTATTGTGGTTTCCTTAGCCCTGGTATTATCCAGTGGTAAACTCTTCAATTTGTTTTGAGGGAAAATTTCTCCTGTGAAAGTATTTCTGTAGTGATGAAAAAATGTTCTGACCTCTGCCTGAGGATGGCTTGCCCCAAAGAAGGACATTATGACATTTTGACAATGAACTCTGAACAAAACTTGCTAAGTTTTTTTTTTTTTAAGCAATTGCTAAGGGGTTCTGAAACCATGTTCTCAAGTGGAAAACGAGACTATTTTTGGTATGTTAGAAAAATAACAGGTAGCTTAACTGATGCTGCTTTTATGCTCTAAAGAATGTTACTTATGGTGGCTACTTGGCTAAAAGCACACACAAAACATGTTCTCACCTTGCTCTCCCTGCTGTTTAATGCAGAATTCGGTACTTATCAAAGCCATCAATGCATCATACCTTGGCTCAAGATCCCATAACACATAGTAAAACTTCATAGCATTTTACAGCCGAGGAAAACCACAAAGTTTTACTCAATAATTCATTTCCAATGATTAGAAATTAAATCTCTTCCCTTATTTAAAAGTAATCATTGGAGGCCGGGCCTGGTGGCTCACGCCTGTAATCTCAGCACTTTGGGAGGCCGAGGCAGGTGGATCACGAGGTCAGGAGTTCGAGACCAGTCTGACCAACATGGAGAAACCCTATCTCTACTAAAAAATACTAAATTAGCCGGGCGTGGTGGTGCATGCCTCTAATCCCAGCTACTTGGGAGGCTGAAGCAGGAGAATTGCTTGAACCCAAGAGGTGGAGGTTGCAGTGAGCCAAGATCGTGCCACTGCATTCTAGCCCAGGCAACAAGAGTGAAACTCTGTTTTAAAAAAAAAAAAAAGTAGTCATTGGGTTCTTAGTGTTTTTCTGACACATTTTGTAGGTCAGATCGAAGAGAATGCTCTGAGTTTAGGGTCCTAATAGCAAAAAGGATTGCTAAGTGCAGTACTACGTTAGACATTAGTTTTGACTTGGGGTTAGATGCAGTTATGAGATTTCTCAGCACCATTTCCTAAAACCAGAATTGAGCCTGAGATCATTAGGTAGGCCGAGTGGCTGATGGTAAGTATGATGCTTTGTCTCATACTTGGAAAATAAGGAAGATCCTGGGCGAGCATGCATGTGGCTTGCCCACTCCCTGGTGTGAGGACTCTGCTACCTATACCAAGACAGGGGAAGAGGCATGAGCTCCATCTAGAAAATATATTTGCGATAGCTGCCAATGGTCTGCATTTCAGAAAAAGTCTTTCTACTCACTTGTGTTTTAATTTTTATATGTTATATTGTGCAGTATAATTTAACCAAATTGGATGCATTGGTAAAAATAAATACATTTGATATTCCTGATACTCTTACTACTACTACTAAATACAAATGTAGACAAGATGAATCTGCCCGGGTAAATCTTGATTGAAGGGTGAGTAGTAGTTATGTATCCAAGACCATAATTATTAGCAACTCTATCTGGTTGCCCTTTATCCATATACCCTTCCTTTCCGAAAATATTTTTCAGCAGTAGAACATAGTGAATAGAGCTGATTGTTCTATAGGAAGCACATAAAAGAATAGAGAGTTAACCGGAGTAGGAAGGCAGACACATTGTTATTGGGAAATTGAATAATAAAAATAGGCATTTGGATAATTGCAACAGATGGGCTTGACATGAAACAGAAAAGCACCAGTGTAGAGAATGCTGCATTTTTGAAAACAGTAGCTAGAACTGTATTTATTTATCTAAAATATCTCATTTACATGTAAGCAGACACAGGTGCACCAAAGTTCATTTTCCAATACTGTACTTACAATAGTCTAATTTATGTGGGTATTTAAAAATAAACACAGCTGGCTGGGTGTGGTGTCTCACAGCTGTAATCCCACCACTTTGGGAGGCTGAGGCTGGTGGATTACCTGAGGTCGGGAGTCTGAGACCAGCCTGGTCAACTTGGTGAAACCCCATCTCCATTAAAAACAGAAAAAATTAGCTGGGCGTGGTGGTGGGCTCCTGTAGTCCCAGCTGTCTGGAGGCTGAGGCAGGAGAATTGCTTGAACCTAGGAGGCAGAGGCTGCAGTGAGCCAAGATTGCACCACTGCACTCCAGCCTGGGCGACAGAGTGAAAGTCCATCTCAAAAAACAAACAACAAACAACAACAACAACAAAAGCAACAAAAACACTGCTATAAAAAATAGAATATGACAAATATGTGGTAAACAATCATTGCAAAACAGTTGATAAATGTATGGAGAATTGTATTCCTTCAAAAGTTCACAAATATGTATGTGTATATATATGTGTGTGTATATATATATACGTATATATATACGTGTGTGTATATATATATATATATATACACACACACACACACACACACATACACATAATATTTATCTTACCTAAATATAAAACTTCAGTGGCAAAGATCTTCAATGTTTGTGTCTAAGATGCCCTAGATTTTGTAGAACTAGTCAGTGGGTTTACTTTTGTTATTGCAAAATCTGCTTGTCTCTGGCCCACTCTTTATGTTTATTTCTTGCTGACCATGTTCTAGGTTTTGGTTTGGTCCATGTATTGGCCTTTCTTTTCTATTTATTTCTTCCTAAAGCCTTGTCTGGCTCTGAGCCATTTCTGTCTCATCTCTGCTGCAGGATAACTTATGAATCTGTCCTCTTGTTCAGTCCTGATTCTTTGGAGGATCACTGTAGAGGGTCAGCTTGGCACGCAAGGCATGAGAAGGTTTCTAAAAATGTTTGTTGCTTGTCAGGTGAAGATGGAACTTGACTTTCTTAGGACATTTACTTTTGGTTTTTCTCAGCTGTCTGTGGTTATATTATGCATGAACAGACAAGCTGCAGGGAGACGTGAGTAATATGGACACCTGTGAAGAGCCTGGTGTTCAAGGCCTCTTCCACATACCATATGGTAGCTGTGATGGTTAATTTGATGTGTCAACTTGACCGGACTGAGGGATGCCAAGATGACTAGTAAAAGATAATATCTGGGTGTGTCTATGAGGGCATTTCCAGAAAAGATTAGCATTTGAGTGGACAGACTGAGTGAAGATCAACCTCACCAGTGCAGCCGGGTATCATCTAATCCATAGAGGGCCTGGCAGAAGAAAAGGCAGAGGAAGAGTGAATTTGTTCTTTGCTTGAGCTGACACGTCTGTTTTCTCCTATCCTCAGACATTAGTGCTCCTGGTTTTAAGGCCCTTAGACTAGGGTTGGGACTTATATTATTGGTTCCCTTGGTTCTTGGGTCTTTGGGTTTGGACTGGAACTACACCACTAGGTTTCCTGGGCCTCCAGCTCGTGAACAGCAGATAGAGGGACTCACTAGCCTCCATAATCACCTGCGCCAATCACTCACAATAAATTTCTTTCTGCATGTCTGAAGATATCCTATTGGTTCTGTTTTTTTGGAGAACCCTGACTCTATAGTCAGTTTTCATACCTTTCTTTTTTAAAAATTGAGTCATTGATAAGAAAGAGGATTCAGTCACCATGAAAACATTACCCCTGCACTATTTCACTTCTCACGTGCTTTGGCATCACATGGGGATTAAAGGTGAGAGTACAGGCCAGGGGCAGTGGCTCACTCCTGTAATCCTAGCACTTTGGGAGGCCAAGGTGGGTAGATCACCTGAGGTCAGGAGTTCGAGACCAGCCTGACCAACATGGAGAAACCCTGTCTCTACTAAAAATACAAAAAATTCGGCAGGCGTGGTGGCTCATGCCTGTAATTCCAGCTACTTGAGAGGCTGAGGCAGGAGAATCGTTTGAACCCAGGAGGCGGAGGTTGTGGTGAGCCGAGATCGCACCATCGCACTTCAGCCTGGGCAACAAGAGCAAAACTCCATCTCAAAAAAAAAAAAATAGGTGAGAATACAAAAGAATATAATGATGACTCATTACCTGCTATGGTTCACAGATGCCGTAATAGATTATCTGCTTCCTCCTGTGCTGTTCTCACCATATTAGACAAACCTGGCAATGCTGGACCCTTAACATCAGCCTGAGAGTGAAGTTATCCATCTTCAGCATCAAGGTCAGGTTTATGAAAGGGTGGTGTATTGTGATTTGTGTGACTCTCTCTCATCATCCCAGTTTGTGAGACTGGGAATATATTTACAAATGGTTCAGATCTTTCTTTTGCTAATCCATGCAACAAAATAGCTTAAGCATCTATTATGCATCAGGCACTGTGTTGTTCCCATATTCCAGTTGAGGAGACAAATACTTAAAACAGTTGTGATACCTTCTACGTGCTATAAAGGAAGCAAATGGTTGAAATAGAGAACAGATTTGCAAAAGAAGCCTCCATTAGATGAGAGGATCAGGAAAGACTTCATATGACTGATATGGAGATAAAAATAAAGAATAAAAGGAATCTAATCTTTTAAATTAAATCTCACCAAGTAAATGTCCTAAGAAAGTCAAGTTCATCTTCACCTGACAAGCAACAAGCATTTTAAGAAAACTTCTCAGGCCTTAGTTGCCAAATTGACCCTCTATAATGACCCTCCAAAGAATAAGGACCGAACGAGAGGAAAATGGAAGAGTCAACGATGGCTTACGCCTGTAATCCCAGCACTTTGGGACACTGAGGCAGGTGGATCATGAGGTCAGCAGATCGAGACCATCCTGGCCAACATGGTAAACCCTGTCTCTAGTAAAATACAAAAAATTAGCTGGGCGCGGTGGTGCGTGCCTGTAGTCCCAGCTACTTGGGAGGCTGAGGCAGGGGAATTGCTTGAATCCAGGAGGTGGAGATTGCAGTGAGCCGAGATTGTGCCACTGCGCTCCAGCCAGGTGACAGAGCAAGACTCTGTCTCAAAAAAAAAAAAAAAAAAAAAAATTATAGATAAAATCAGCACATGCAAATGGCCGGCTATAAAATTGGTGGAAAGTCAACATATTAAAGAAAAGCAGTGCTTCAGAGCAGCTGTGGTCGTGAGGAAGAGGAATCCAAGCGATGTCAGAGCACAGTCAGGGCTTGGTCATACAGGGAGGGGTTTACATTCTGTACAATGGGAAGCAATTAGAGTGTCTTAAAGAGGAAAGGACAACTTTCAAATTATTTTTGCTGAAGTGTGGAGAATAGATTGAAGGGGGCAAAAAAGAAGCAGAAAAACCAGTTACAAAGATATTATAGTAGTTCGGGCAAGGTAGGATGATGGCCAGAAAATAAGGTGGTGGCCGTAAAGATGGAGATCCAATTATAGAGATTCAAGGTATACTTTGATAATACAGTAAATTTTACCTGTAGAAAGATTGTTTTGCAATTTGTGTTTCTACTCACTTGTGTTTTAATTTTTGTGTTATATTGTACAATATAATTTAACCAGATTGGATGCATTGGTAAAAACAATTACTTTTGGTGTTCCTGATACTATTACTGTAAAACACAGAGAGGTTCCTGACTTCAGCAAATCTGTGGATGGAGTGGCATTTATTCTCCCAGAGATTAGAAAGGAAACAGATCTTGGAAGTGTGATAGAACTGCTAATTTTTCCCTCAATTCTAGTTGCTCCAGTAATAGAAGGCCATCATCTTAGCTTGGTGCATGGCCACCAAAAAGAGAGATTACATTTTCCAAACTTTTTTGTAGTTACGTCTGGCCAGGTTACTGTGCTCTGAAGCATGGAATGTGGAGGTGCTATGTGAAACTTCCTGTTAAGTGTTCTTAAGGAGAAAAGATTTATCTTTTCTATATTCCTTTCTTCAGCCAAGATGGCTGAAACTGGAGCCGCCATCTTGGGCTGTGAAGGGGGAATCATCTACTAAGTGTGTTAGAGCATCAAGCTAAGAGTTATCAGCACTCCAGCCTTGAACTGCTTGTCTTCACACTTTACTGATATGAAAAAAGGAATATTCTTCTGTCTTTTTAAAGCAACAGTCGTTTGTCTTTTTTTGCCACTCAGGTATGACCCTAAAACTATCTGATAAAAGAAGTCACATCAAGATGCTTTCTTAGAGACAGGATCTTGCTAGGCTAGCTTTAAACTCCTGGGCTCAAGAGATCCTCCCCCTTCAGCCTCCTGAGTAGCTGAGACTACCTAGCTTGTAGGCCAGCCTAGCAAGATCAAGTCTCTAAGAAAAAAAAAGTCACATTATATTAAGGTTGCAAGAGCTGTTAGAGTTCCATGTGATGTGGAGACATGGCCATGAGACCCGCCACAAAATTATGGTGTTAAATTCATGAGAATGCGTAAGTTAAACTAGGGAGGGGAGGGAAGAGCATTCAGCAGAGATTCCTGAGTAATTCCAACAATCCAAGGTGGAACACAGGAGGAAGGATTGGATACTAAGAAGGAATACCTTACCATGTAGGATAGAAAACAGAGTTGTATCACAAAGTTCAAGGGAGGGTTTAAAAAATAAGAGATTCATTTACTTGAATTCTGCTGAGATACCAGCTACACTGAGGAGCAAGAAGTGACCACTGGGTTTGCTGTTATAGAGGTCACTGGTGATCCTGACAAGAATGGTGTCTGTTGAGAAGTGAGGATGCTGGCCTGACTAGGGTGGGTTAGAGGTTAGGAACTGGGGGAATTTTTAGAGATAATTCTGTTGAGATGTTTTGCTTTGAAGGGAATCAAAGAAACGAAGCATAAGCTATCAAGTATATGGGCAAATCTGTATCTGTATCTCCAAAGTTCATATGGTGAAGTCTTAACCCCCAATGTGATGGCGTTAGATGGTGGGGTCTTTCAGAGGTAACTAGGTCATGAGAATGGAGTCCTTATGAATGGAGTTAGTGATCTTATGAGCAGAGGCCCAAGAACTAACTAGTTTTCTTTTTACCATGTGAGGATAAATGGGAAGATGGCAGCCTGCAATCCAGGTAGCCTGGTGGGGTCTCACAAGAACCTGACCATGCTGGCATGCTAACGTGACACTCTAGCCTCCAGAACTGCGAAAAATGAATTTCTGTTGTTTATAAACCACCCGGTCTATGGTACTTTGTTACAGCTGCCCAAAACTGACTAAGACTGTTACTAAAGATAGTTTCTACTACTATGCTTACTTGAAATAAAAATGCATTATTTTTAAATGGTTAGATGAACATTAATGTTTAAATTAACACTTTGTAATTGGGCGGAAGCAAACCAATAGAACTTTAATGAACAAAATAGTAGAGGCTCAGTTTGGATTTCCTAAAATTAAATATGGATTTTTATTTTAGCACTTCTTTTAGTCAATAGCTACAGTCACAGATCACCCTGTGTTTGTGGTATGTGTTTTATCATTGAGATAGTGATAGTAAATTAAAACTAAAATTAAATATATTCATTCTAATCTAATTTTCACACTTTTTTTTTCTTAGCTTTCTAAAGTAATTTCGGAGAGGAAATTAGTACTGATACTATGTCGAGCAAGGAAAATTACCAGATCTATGTGTAATGTGGGGAGAGGCATTTGAGGGAATGTTTATCTTTATATTACTTTAAAATTTATTTGATCCATTCAAAAAGTCATTTGCCCAGTAGATGTGAAGAATAGGGATCACATTTCCTCAGGATTAGTAGACAGGCATTTTGTAAAGATGCATAAGATTTTGAATCTGTTTTCACTCATCTTCTTCTCCCACGCCACAAGTCAGATGTCACAGAAAAGGAAAAAAAAAATTTTTTGAAGTAGTTATTTGATTTGCTTTACAGTCACAATTCCAAAATTAGTCCAATATAAAAATTAGAGAGTCAGGATTTGAACCAGATCTGTGTGTCTGTGTAAAGTCTATGCATGATTTTCTTGCCACAAGAAAGTGTGTCTCCCTATAGATCATGCAGTTTTACACCTCCGTGTCTTGATGTTCTAAACTTTGCCTTCTGCTTGCCTGCAGAAACATTCTTCTCCTAGTCTGCTGAATCTCCATTTTTAGGCTTCCAGGGTCCACGCATGTCTTGAATGTAATTTTATCCACAGGAGCTTCCCTTCTCTGGGCTGCGTGAACAGTGCTTGGGTGATCCTGCTAGTGTGTTGCCCTTTGCCACATGACCTGTTAATGGGGACCCTGAGTGAACACACACACACACACACAAATACAAACACAGATACACATAGAGTTCAATTTTGCGTTAGAATGCAAATTGTAAAACAAAGTATTTGATATAGAAATAGTCTTTATTAAAACTTAAAGAACCTACCTAAGCCTTGATAGGACATATCATTTTTCATAATTCTATAAATAAAACCATAATATAGTAATTTGATTCTATTGACAGTAGAAGATCAAGGCAGGTTTTCTGGGGGGTAGGCGCAAAAACTATTTGAGAGAAACTACTACATTTTCATATCTGTGATACACAGATAAAAAAAGAATAAGCACATTTGGAATCAAAATGTCACATTCATGAGGAATACCAAACAGGACTCTCAGAACCTCGCAAATATGAACATAATTTTACAAATTGCTGGTTCTAGACTGAGTCATCTATGTAATTGAGATTCACGAATTGCATTCTATATGATAGTCACAAATAACTGCTTCGAAGTGTTTGTTTCATATTCGCAAACTACACATCCAAAAAAGGCCTAATATCCGGAACCTATAAGGAACTTAAACAAATCAACAAGCAAAAGCCAAATAACCCCATTAAAAAGTGGGCAAAAGATATGAACAGACACTTCCCAAAAGAAGACATGCAAGCGGTGAACAAACAGATGAAAAAATGCTCATCACTAATCATCAAAGAAATGCAAATCAAAACCGCAATGAGAGACCATCTCGCACCAGTCAGAATGGCTTTTCTTAAAAAGTCAAAAGATAACAGATGTTGGTGGGGCTGTGGAGAAAAGTGAATGCTTATACACTGTTGGTGGAATGTAAAGTAGTTCAGCCACTGTGGAGAGCAGTTTGGAGATTTCTCAAAGAACTAAGAGTTGACCTACCATTCAACCCAGCAATTCAATTCTTGTGTAAATATCCAAAGGAAAATAAGTTGTTCTTTGAAAAAGATACATGTACTCGTATGTTCATTACAGTACTACTCACTGTAGCAAAGACATGGAACCAAACCAGGTGCCCATCAGTGGTGGATGGGATAAAGAAAGCATGGTACATATACACCGTGGAATACTATGTAGCCATAAAAATAATACAATTATGTCCTTTGCAGCAACATGGATGCAGCTAGAGGCCATTATCCCAAGTGAATTAACACAAAAACAGAAAAACAAATACTGCGTGTTCTCACTTATAAGTAGGAGCTAAACATTGGGTAAACATGGACATAAAGATGGGAACAACAGACAGTGGGTAATACAAGAGGAGGGACAGAGAGAGGGAGGCAGGGCTAAAAAACTACCTATTGGGTACTATGCTCACTTCCTGGGTAATGGGTTCGATGGTACTCGAAACCCCAGTATAACACGGTATACCTTTGTAACAAACATACACATGCACTCCTGGAATCTAAAATAGAAGTTGAAAAAGGAAAAAAAAATGTTACTTTCACTGTCTCTCTTACTTGGCTATCATCTTTCAAATGAAGCAACAAACTTTTAATGATTTCAAAAGACACTTATGAATTCAGTGATGAATAGGGGATGACCCATTTCTTCATGTTCAAGGGGTATGCAACTCAACAAAATTACAAATCACTGCTTGCCATGGTCTTGTGGCTCCCACATAAGTAGTGGTTATCATGGGTATTGAATTCGTAAATTTCACAGCATTATTGTTTGCCCTTTACCTAATTGTGACTCTACAGCCGGTGAGTCCAGAGAAAGCCTTGGAACTTGAAGTACTTCTTTTATGTGAGAGAATTGAGAGCGAAATACACAGTGTGTGTTTCACCTCAAAGTTAAATGAGAGATTTTTAATAAAAATAACTTGTGGTTGTAATTCTATCCTATTGTGACAGGAACTTGGAGTTAATGCTACTGCATATGTTGGGAAAAAGAGAGGTTTATTGTTGCCTAAAGCGTCAGAAATAAATTTAGAGCAATCTCAAAGGAGGACTCTTCCATGAATGACCTGCTCTCTTTTGTACTCTTTTCTGTTGCTATTTCAAGACACTATTTTGTTATTACTAAGAACCAGTCCAAATGTGATCAACAGAGGTTTCTCGAGAGAGTGTTGGTGTGCTTTTTATCTTTGGAATTGTTCAGTTTATCTTTAACTTTAAACTGTCTCTGAGTAATTAGCTTGATTTGATGCTTTAACAGAAAGTAATCCTCAAAACTCTTAATAGAAAAACTGATAACAGAAAAAAGGAAAGATATTGAAAAATTGCTGTTTTCTCATTTTTAGAGTACTAAAATGATAAATTTTTACTTACTCATAAAGTTGTTATCTGTCTATAGAATACATATAGAAATATGGAAATAAACAAAAAAAGAAAATTTAACAATAACAATAAGGCTTAAGCCCTAGTATAGTTTTATATGCACTGAAAAATATGCTGTTGTGGCTTATGAGCTGTTAAAAGTAATTTTATTCTTGCTTATTCTTACCATGTCAACAATTGTGCTAACTGCACCTTGTGTATACGTCTGATAAGAGGTAGAAATATTAATTTATGAATTATCACAATGAAACTGATGGGTTTTTTAGTAATAGAATTATTCTTAAAGTCATATAAGACAAAACAAAATTTATTTTTGTTGCCCTTTTAAATAATTTATTATTCAGATAAAGGTTTATGGTATTGGTTTTGGAGAAGTCAACAGTTTGAATCACCCCTCCACCCTCGCCAAGGTTTGCCAACTCCTCCCTGGGGGTTGACCAGTCTTTAGAGCTGGAAACCATCTTGTTCAGTGCTTTTCCAAGGCTCTTATCGGAGTTCTAGGAGATGTGTGGCTCCTCAAAGTCCCTTGGTGAGCTGAGGGCACAAGGACATGACTTGATATTGCTCATAGGCCATCGACCATGACACCATTTAAGTAATTGATTTGTTTACAGTCTGGGTAAATTATTATTTATTTAACGAAAGTTTCCACAGAAAAATAGATTTTGAGAAGTGTTAATCTAGTCCAAAACTTTAAATGTACACAATACATCCCCAGTTATAAGCCAGTATATGGCGGAATCAGGACCAGATATTGATTTGCATACTTGTTTTATCCGTCTTCCCCTTATTTCCTCCCCCTCCCTCCCTTCCTTCTTTCCTTTCTTTCTGGCATTCATTCACCGAATATTAGATAAACACATCTTGTTTGACAGGTACATTGCTTGCCAGAGAAAGCGCTGAGATTTCTTGCGAAAAGACACACCATAAACAAATAATCACAAAACAATATGATGAATACTATAACAAAATATGAAAAAGAGATCTGGAGCACACAGATGACTAGATTACTGTAAGATGAGCAATAACTTTTTCCCACTCACAGTACGATGGTTAAGCATTTGAACTCTGCAATCAGATTTGCTTTTGAATCTCTTCACTGCTGATTAGCTGTGTGACCTTTGCTAAGTTCCTTAACGTGGATTGATTCATAAGTTTTAGAGAAGGGACATGTAATCAGACAAGCACTACCTCTTCTCTCTACTTATAAATCCATGGGATGTCTGTTTACCTACTATCTTTTTGCAAGAGAAGAGCATAGCGTTCCCTTCTAAGGCTAACTCCTTTACTAGAGCTCTGGATTTCATCCCTTGTACGAACTGAAAAATGGTGTCCCTTCATTTATTCATTATTCATTTATGAATGGTGCCCCATTCATTTGCTGCATCTCTTCTTTCTGCCTTTCTTTGGGTTTATTCCTGTTAACAAAAATGCCTTAACGGTATCCATGTTAAAATCCCTTAAATCCACATCTTTCTCCAGCTACTGATGATTTCTCTGCTCCTCCTCCCAGCAGTATTTCTTAAAATATTGCTTAAAATATATACTATGAGTATGCAAAGGCATACAGAGTAATATAATGGGCTTTAGGCACTCAGAAGGGGAGGGTAGGTGGGGGGCCAGGGATAAAAAGCTACATGTTAGGTACAGTGTACACTACCTAGGTGATGAGTGCGCTAAAATATCAGAATTTACCACTGTATGATTCATCCAATTAGCCACATACCACTTGTACCCCAAAAGCTGCTGAAATAAAAATTTTTAAAAAGTCTATATAAAAGAGGAAAACAAAACCAAAACAATTGCTTAAAATATATACTTATAGTCTTTATTTCCTCATTTCACATTTTTTCTTATCACTTAGTGTACTAAGAAAAACAGCCATCACCACTTAACATTGGGATCTAATGGACTATCATTATTTACTTAAAATATTTACATTTTTGTAAGTAATTTAAATAAGGAAGAATAAAGATAAAATGACTTTTTTTCAAAAATTATACTAAGCATTAAACATAGCAAATCCATTTGTATCAAATATGTTTTGATGTAAGCACTTCACAAAAAAGAATATTGTCACATGCTCTTTTAGCAAAAAGAAACGGTCAGGTTTTTGTCACAAAAAGTGTTTGATTTAAATTACTAAATGATAACACTATATCTCTTTTTTGTACTTAGAAGAATATTGTCCATACATTGATTATTTATTTATAGAGTCAGAGTCTTGCTATGTTGCTTAGGCTTGTCTTGAACTTCTGGGCTCAAGCTGTCCTCCTGCGTTGGCCCCTCAAGGTGCTGGGATTAAACACATGAGCCGCTGTGCCTGGCCCCACTGATTCTTGAATTTGAGAAAATTTATATATAAGGTATCATGTGAAGGCTCATAGTCTGATACTTCATTTGTATAATCAATTTCATCATCATTTTAGAGTCTGGAGTGTTGCCATCCCTCTCTCTAGATTCATTATCTCATTTTTCTAATAATTGTGGATTAGGTTTCAACTTACAAGTTTGAGGGGACACAAACATTTGGACCATAGCATGTCTTTTTGTTTTAGTCTTTTTTAAAAGAATACCTTGGAATAATTGATAAATAATGATAAAATAAATTCTGAAATAGCAAAATGTTTCAAGACATAGGAAAGAAAAAATTACGAAGATTCCATCATGTGTTTTAGATTTATAAAAGAGTCCAGTGGATTCCTGTGCTAATTCAAGTTAAGTGAGTTTTATTCTATTAAGAAGTAGTACACTTTGTATTTTTGTGGAAGGCTTCTAAGAAAGAATAAAAATGATGTCAATCATCACAAACAGAACTGTTCAAAATCAAAGAAAAAAATGAAAATTGGATCCAATGGACCTTGATTGCATATTGACGGTTAACCCACTCTTATCAAGCATTCTGCCTCACCTTGAACCCAGTGAAATAATCCTTTAAGGTCATTAAAACTTAAGTGTTGATAAAACATGTAGTTAATTTTGAGTTCTCATTGTAGTGAGTCTGTTCAGGGTGCTACATTGCTGACTTCATGTCCTCTTGAAATTGTATTCCGAGTGGCTTCTGTATGCTCACCTAGAAGTTTTCTATCTACTTCACCTCGTGCACCTTCTTAAGCTCCTGCTTCTGTTCATTTGGTCTTCTGAATACTGGAGAACCTATAGTCTCTGTCTTCAGCATTCCTCTCCGTATATAGTCAGTCCTCTGTATCTATGGGTTCTGCATCCATGGATTCACTAACAACAGATTGAAAATGTTTGGAAAAAATGAAAAATAACAGTACAATAAAAAATAGTACAAAAACAATGCAGAATAACAACTATTTATAAGGCATTTACATTGTATTAGGTATTTATATATAATCTTATAACTATAGAGATAAAGTGTACAGGAGGATGTGTATAGGTTATATGCAAATACAATGTTATTTTACATAAGGGACTTGAGCGTCCATGGATTTTGGTATCCATGATGGGAGTGGAGTTGAGGAATAGAGGGTGTCCTGGAACCAATTCCCCTTGAATACTGAAGAATGACTATACTCTCTTTTTATAGATTATCTAATCCAATCCCATGTCTAGGTCAGTAAGTCTCCATCTGGATATACCATATTTTATATGGCTCACATTGAACTACTGCATATCCCTCCTCCAAACTGACATCCCCAGTCCCTGTGTTTTTGCTGTCTCAGCAAATAACATCACCATTTTCTGTTGCTGGGTCCAAACCTTGGTGAATCTTCATCCATGTTATTCAGTGCTAAGCTCAGACATCTCAATCTTCACAATTATATTTATGTAACTTTTTACTATCTTCTCTATAATAACTTTAGTCCACGCCACCATTACCAGTCACCTAGACTACTGCACCAGTCTTCTAAATACTTTCCAGTCTTGCTTTTCTGCAACTTAGTTTCCAATCAGCAGGCAGAGTTTTCTGAAGACATTCTTACAATACATTACTCTCCTGATTAAAACCATTTAAGTGCTTGCAATTGCAACCAGAATTAAATAAAAACTTGATAATCTAGCTCTTGCCTACAGCTCCTCTTCTTTCTACTCTTCCCATTATTCTATTTATTCTCCAGGCAAGCAGGCCTTCTTTCTGTTTCTCAAACACTCAAGAGAATAAGTTTTTAATTATGTTCCTCCCCCATGAAAGAAGAATACTACAAAAGGCCATCTCTGTTTGCATCCATTTTCCCAGAATGATGAATACTCCATATCCTAGATCTGTAGTGAAACAAAATATTCTTGAACTGGTGGTTCCATAGCACCATTTCTCTTCCATAGGGGGAAAACAGAATTTGGGGGTGGTATGGCCAGTTGTGGGTTATGTGCTAATTATCTTTATTCTAAATTAAAACAGGTATGATATATAGAGTTAGAACTCAATAGGTGGCTGATAACATTCATTGTTGGTTATCAGAACCAGGGGCCTGCTCCTTCAAGAAGACTTGCCAGTAGGAAAAAATAAAATTTATTGTATTCATCCGTTCTAACACTGCTAATAAGACATACCTGAGACTGGGTAATTTATAAAGAAAAAAGGTTTAATTGACTTACGGTTCCACATGGCTGGAGAAGCCTCAGGAAACTTACAATCATGGCAAAAGGGGAAGCAATCACGTCTTTCTTCACAAGGCGACAGCAGAGAGGAGAAAAACCCCTTACAAAACTATCACATCTCATGAGGACTCATTATGATGAGAACAGCGTGAGGGTAATCACCCCCATGATTCAATTACCTCCCAATGGGTCCCTCCCATGACATGTGGGGATTATGAGAACTACAGTTTAAAATGAGATTTGGGTGGGGACACAGCCAAACCATGTAATTTATTATGTGTAATCAAAGTTTGAAATTTTGTTTTGACCATGACATACACTAAGAAATGTATTTTACTTTATGGTCCAAATCATACATACATACAAACATATATAAGTGTATGAAGTTGAAAAAAAATTCACACAGCTATACTTACTCTTTCAACATGTAATGTTCTCTGACATTTTCTATGTGATTCTATTTTATTTCCATTAAAAATTGAATTATGGTTACACTAAATTGATTTCATAACCCACCAATGAGTCACAGTCTAAGTTTAAAAACACGAACACTGTTGTGTCCACAAGATACCATGACAACAACAAAGAAAAAAACGTCTAAATCAGATGGGAGGGTCAAAAGGGGTTTATCAGAACACTTCCTAACTTCTGGGAAATAGAAGATGCCCACAATGTTGAAAATCAAATTTGGTGTATTTTCTCCGGTATCCTGAAAACAAATTTTCCAAAAGAAGTTGGAATGAGCCAGAGTGTATATAAGCAATAGAATAAATGAAAGAATAGGGGAGTTCAGGAAATAGCTCTAAAATACACATGCCACACTTAATTTCTATTAATTCACAATTTGTGACAAAGTCAAATTTCAATTTTCTGTCCCAGAAAGCATATGCCAAGTCTTTAAACATTTGTTTACCATATATTTATGTAGTGCCTCTAAAATTCCTAGAACTATATTACTATTTACTTGCAGGAGTAATTATAATACTTAATATTTATATATTACTGTTCTATAACCTTGAATATTGAGTACTACTGAAGTATTAAATCTGGGATATAAAGGCTAATCACAATAATGATGATAATGATAGTAATAGCTAGTATTTATCGAGTGCTTTCTACCCTCAACATCCAATTTAGAATGATCTCTAGTGAGCTTGAGTTACTATTGACTGTGGAATATAACTTTATGTGATTAGTTGTTCCACCTACATGTTGGAATTTCTTGCATTTAATAAGTTTTCTCTAAATGATGCTTGAAATAATCTAGTGGGAAAAAGCTAAAATACGGACTGAATTATTTTAACAGTAAAGCTTATCCTAGGTGAAATAATGAACCAATTTTAATAGCCCTTTTATGGCAGTTTTAACTTTTCTGTCTTACACAGGTTTTGAGATGTTTAGTTTTATTTTTAAGTCTTTATTATGGTCTAGGAGAGTGGATTGATTTTCAATAATTGCTATAGCCCTCCTTCACATTCAAGTTACTCCCCACCTCTTTTTTTAAGGTCACTCTTTTTTTTTTTGTAAAGCTTCTCTTTAGGGAACACAGATTGAAAGCAATGTTATGGAGTCAGTTTTGTTTTCTTGCCCACTGGAATGAGTTCTTTGTTGGAGAGCTGCTTCTAGGTATGAAGAAGCCTCAGCAAAAATTCTTGGAGGCAGAGGCTGAGTCTTCAGGGCTGAGAACCACCCATACTCACGTCTCCCATGTGGAGGGATGCCATTTTGCATGAATGATGGCAAACAACAACAAGAAGAAACAAACAAAAACAGGCTTTCAGTGAGGAAAGCCTAGAGGAAGCCAGGTGGAGCAGATGAGACCAGGCTCAGAAGGGGAAAGAGGGGAGAGGAGGACTTGTGGACCCTCGGTTGAGAAGGGGAATTGGAGAAATACCTAAGGGGATCTTAGGTTCTTTTCTGTGAATATTCTCTCAGGATACCATAAATTATACGTTGCCCAGTGATGCTTTCATGTATTTTCTTTCAGGGCAGCTTTAACGGGAAGAGGGTCTAGCCAACTCCTGATACCCAGGAGCAGTGCTAGTAATCTGGACTCACAGCAAGTAAAATGACCCCAAAGTCATCTTCTCCCTTTACCTGCATCAGAACTGAGTTCTTCCTTTTGAGACTGAGACAGATTACCTGTGATATGACCCCTGACAAGAGGGTTGTGCCTGCCATTCATTAATAGCTAGGAACTTGGGCCACTGGATTTTGTTTTGTCTTTCTTTTAGTTCTCCACCCTCCAGGTATCAAAGGGCCTGGCTTTAAAGTAGTTCAGCTTTGCCCTTACCAAATCATGTGGCCAGCCCTCTAAACTTCTTTATCTATCTTCAATAATTTGAGTGGAGGGGGTGATAATAATATCTTCCTGGAGTTTAAAAAATACTAAGTTTAAAATGCATGACAAGTACCCAGGTACATAGGAGTTACGTAACAAGATTCCCTTCCCACTCATCCATCATTCTGCATCTAGCAGGTTCCATGAGAGAAAGAATTTCTTGACTCTCCATTGGAAAGATCTTGCCAGACTCGGAGGTCTCAGCTGCTATGTGAGTGGTAGTTTTCCCTCTGCTCTTACTATTTTTAAAGCACCCATGGGATGCCATAGTGTGTATTTGTTGTCTATATAACCACCCCTCTCTTTTCTAAGAGTACCCAGAGTTTCTTTCTAGATTGTCTACATTGGCCTCCAAAACATTTTATCTGTTTCTGGGGAAGCTGACCTCAGCCTCTGTTCTATTCCCTGGACACAGAACTTGATAAAGAAGTAAAAATATGGCTCAAGAAAATCCAATCATGGTGAATCTCATGACTCTTTTCAAAATGCTGGTCCAGAGGCACTTTTCTAAATGGTGCAGTGTGTTGGCTATAAAGGCTACCATGAAGAAAACTAGTGCTGGGAAGAAGTTAGCACAGGGAGAGGTCAAAAGAAAGAGAACTGGAGATAAATAGAACCAAAGGTCTCCAAACTCTGTTCAAATCATGTCCTATGCCTACCATGTCCATTCACTTTGGGTTACATGAGTCAATAAATTCCCTTTATTACTGGACACATTTGGGTTGTATTTTCTCTCCTTGAGGCAAAATAATCTTAAATGTCTTAGTTGCCACGAAGGGGTGTGTGTGGGTGATCTGTATTGTCACAAAAGGGGAGTATTAATTGTTATTCTCGCTGTAATTCTGACTGAAAGTAAAACCATTCTAATGACAATGGTTTAGATGCATATAAAATAAAGTGATAAAGCGTAACTGGTGTCCTAGGAATAATCTTGGGTTTACTATAGTGGTTGAATTCAGCAAACATTAGGAGAACATACTATTTATTAATATTTTTAATGGAACAACAATCAGAAGGCTTAAATAACATAGAGCTTCTTATTGGTTGATAACAGAAAGACATCTATTTCTATTCTTCTTATTATTATCATACCAGCATATTTAGGATTAATATTTACAGATTATAAGGATAACCATTTGTCATGATGAAATTTGGTTCAGCCAGTCTCCTTTACCTTTTTGTTTTTAATACTATTCCATAGAGTCACAAACCATGGATTCTAAGTAAATAAGTGCATAGAATTTACTAAACCTCACCTCTTTGGCATTACAGCCATTGTTGAAGATGTCATTCTGGTTTGTGAAAGTGATGCTGACTGGTGTATATTGAGCAGTTCAGTAGTATCAGCCAAATAGACATGCTGCTGAATTCATGAAATATCCATAGGTTGCACCAGGCAGCTGCACCTGCAGCACCATTTCTCTGGTCTACAGCTCAAATGCTTTTTTTTTTTTTTTAAAGAAAACTTAACATTTAATTATTGAAATTGATCAAATTTATAATAATAAATTTGACAGAATTAAAATAGCACAACAAGACTTTTAATTTATCAAGAATTAGTGGTAATTAAAATAAGCTGAATTTCTAATGTTCAGGGCATTATATTCTAGATTGTACTTGGGGATCACTTTGCCTATATTTATACATAAGGTGATGTTCCGCCTTAACTATTTTTAAATGTACAGATCAGTAGTGTTAACTATATGCATATGGTTGTACAACAGCCCTCTAGAACTTTTTGGTCTTGAAAAACTGAAACTATACAACCATTTAACAACTCCCTCCGGCCCTGACCTGGCCACATGCTCGGTCCTGACAATCAACTTTCTATTTTCTAAAAGTGTGACTACTTTAGATACCTCATTTAAGTTGAATTGTGTAGTTTTGTCTTTTTTGTGAGTGGGTTATTTCACTTACATAACGTCCTCAAGTTTCTTCCATGTCGTAGCACATGACTAGATTTTCTTCTTTCTTACGGCTGAATAGTATTCCACTGTGTACATACATACATATATATGAAATACACACACACACACACACACACACATACACACACACCCCACATGTTCTTTATTCATTCATCTATCAGTAGGCATTTAGGTTGCTTCCATCCCTTGGCTATTGTGAATAAAGCTGCAATAAACATAGGTGTGGAAATCTCTTCACGATCCTGTTTTGAATTCTTTTGAATATATACCCAGAAGTGAAATTACTGGATCAGATCATATGGGAATTCTATTTTTAATTTTTTGAGGAAGCTCCGTGCTTTATTTTCTATGATGGCTGCATCATTTTAAATTCCCACCAGCAGTGCACAGAAGTTCTAATTTCTTCACATCCTCACCAACACTTGTTATTTTCTGTTATTTATTTTTTTTGTTAGTGATATTTTAATGGTGTGAGGTGCTTTCTCATGTGGTTTTGATTTGCATTTCCGCAGTGATTAGTGACGTTGAGCATCTTTTTACATGCTTGTTGGCCATTTGTATATCTTCTTTGTAGAAATGTCTATTCAAGTCCTTTGCCCATTTTAAAATTAGGTATTTGTTTTCTGCTATTGAATTGCAGGAGTCCTTTATAACTCTGGATATTAACACCTTATCAGATATATGTTTTGAAAAGTATTTTCTCCCATTCCATAGGTTGCCTTCTCACTCTGTTGACCATTTCCTTGTGTAGATTTTTTTTTAGATTAGAAAGGTGTATTTATTTATTTATTTTTTATTATACTTTAAGTTCTAGGGTACATGTGCACAACATGCAGGTTTGTTACATATGTATACATGTGCCATGTTGGTGTGCTGCACCCATTAACTTGTCATTTACATTAGGTATTTCTCCTAATGTTATCCCTCCCCTCTCCCCCCGCCCCACAACAGGCCCTGGTGTGTGATGTTCCCCACCTTGTGTCCAAGTGTTCTCATTGTTCAATTCCCACCTATGAGCGAGAATATGCAGTGTTTGATTTTCTGTCATTGAGATAGTTTGCTTAGAATGATGGTTTCCAGCTTCATCCATGTCCCTACAAAGGACATGAACTCATCCTTTTTTATGGCTGCATAGTATTCCATAGTGTATATGTGCCACATTTTCTTAATCCAGTCTATCATTGATGGACATTTGGGTTGGTTCCAAGTCTTTGCTATTGTGAATAGTGCTGCAATAAACATATGTGTGCATGTGTCTTTATAGCAGCATGATTTATAATCCTTTGGGTATATACCCAGTAATGGGATGGCTGGGTCAAATGGTATTTCTAGTTCTAGATCCTTGAGGAATCGCCACACTGACTTCCACAATGGTTGAACTAGTTTACAGTCCTACCAACAGTGTAAAAGCGTTCCTATTTCTCTATATCTTCTCCAGCACCTGTGGTTTCCTGACTTTTGAATGATCGCCATTCTAACTGGTGTGAGATGGTATCTCATTGTGGTTTTGACTTGCATTTCTCTGATGGCCAGTGATGATAATCATTTTTTCATGTGTCTATTGACTCCTTGTGCAGAAATGCTTAAGTTTGATGTAGTCCTATTTGCCTATTTCTGTTTTTGTTACCTGTGCTTTTGGTATTATATCCAAGATATCATTGCTATAAGCTTTTTCCCTATGTTTTCTGCTAAGAGTTTTGTAATTCTAGGTTTTCCATTGTGAGTTAAGTTTCATATGTGGTATAAGGTGAAGGTTAAACTGTATTTTTTTGCATGTAGATATACAATATACCCAGGACCATTTGTTAAAGGGAATGACTTGCTGTTGTCATTTTGTTAATTGTTTTCTGTCTTGAAGTTGTTTTCTTTCTTTTGTTCTGAATTGCCGCCTTTCTTTTTATTTCATTGATATTTTGTAGTAGCATGCTTTAATTCTTTTAAAGTTTTCTTTTGTGCATAATATATAGGTATTTTATTTGTGGTTACCATGGGGATTATATAAAACATCTTATAGATATAACCATCTATTTTAAACTGTAGCAACTTAACTTCAATCACATACAAAATTTGCTTCTTCAGATGCTCCCCCACCACTTTGTTATTGATGACAAAATTACATCTTTTATATTTTGAATCTATCAATAAAATTTTATCATTATATTTTTTAAAGATAAAGGGTTTTAAATTCTGTACCAGAATTAAAAGTAATTTCTTCACCATTATTAAAGGACTGTAGGATTTTGCATTTGTCTATATATTTATCTTTACCAAAGTGCTTTGTATTTCATATGCTTTTTGGTTATTGTCTCCTATTCCTTTGTTTCAACTTGAAGCACTTCCTTTAACAATTCTTGTAAGGCATGTGTGAGGGTGATGAACTGCTTCAGCTTTTGTTTGTCCAGGATGACCTTTATTTCACCTTCATTTTGAAGGAGAATTTTTCCAGATATAGTATTCTTGGGAAGTTTTTGCTTTCAGCACTTTGACTGTTATCCCCTATTCTTCTGATCTCTAATGTTTCTGCTGTGAAATCTGCTGATAATTTTATGGGAGCTCCCTTATATGTGATGGGTCACTTTTCTCTTACTGCTTTCATGATTCTCTCTTTGTCTTTGACTTTTGACAGTTTGATTATATGTCTCAGTGTGGGTCACTTTGTGTTTATCCTATTTTGTGTCCTTTGCTATTCTTGAGCTTAAATGTCCATTTCCTTCCTCAGATTTGGGAAAATTTTGGCTGCTATTTCTTAAATTTTCTATTCACCTTTCTTTCTTTTCTCCTATACTTCCATAATACATATATTGGTCCACTTTATGATATCCCATAAGTCTCCAAGGTTTTCTTCACTTTTCTTCATTATTACTTTTTTTCTGAATTACTTTTACTTGATTACCTAATAATTTCAAATGATCTGTCTTCAAGTTTGCTGATTCTTCCACTTGATCATGTCTGCTGTTGAAATCCTCTAGTGAATTTTCCAATTCAGTTTATTGTACTCTTTATCTACAGACTTTCTGTTTGGTTCTTTTTTATAGTTTCTATATCTGTTGATATTCTCATTTTGTTTATGAATCTGTTTCCTTATTTTATTTAGTTGTCTCCTTGTGTTCTCTTGAAGCTCACTGAGCTTCTTTAAGATTATTATTTTGGATTCCTTGTCAGGCAATTCATAGATCTCCATTTCTTTTTTGGTTGGTTTCTGGAGATTTAATTTATTGCATTGCTTGTGCCTTGTTTCTGTTTTTTTCTTTCTTTTGTGTGTGTGCCTTGTTATTTTATTTATTTTGTTGGCTGTTATTTATGCATTTGAGAAAATAGCCACCTCTCTTAGTTTTTACAGACTAGCTTCATTCAGGTTAAGACCTTCACCAAGAAGTCTGGCTATAGATTCTTGGGACCTCACAAACTCTCATATAACCCTTCTACAGCTCTAGCATTTTACAATGATCAGTTAAGTTTTTATTAATGTTTTCCATTATATAATCAGAAGAGGTTTATTTAAGAAAAAGTTGCTAAATCTTGGTAAGAATAGATTCATACCTGAACATATCACAATCAAACTGTCAAAAGCCAGAAACAAAGACAGACTATGGAAAATAGTAAAATAAATGTGACTCATCATGTACTAAGGATCTTCAGTAAGATTATCAGCTGTTTTATCATTATTTAATCCTCTAGTTTTAAAGATATATGCCTCTAACATATAGTAATATAAATAAATTTAATGACAAATGGACACGGGAGAGCAGCATTTTTGGAGTGTTGCCGAGGTTGAAAATCATATTGTGTGAATTTTTTTACCACTTAATTTCTGTTTTTGAGAACATACATGTAGTATTTGAAGGATGTCACTAATATGATGTACCACTGAGAACAACAGAAAACTGACAACTATAAAATAAAATGGGCAGGAGACCAGAAAGGATATATAGCAATTTCTTAAAATTCTTTTCTCAAAAATGGCCACAGAAGAAAGGAAGCACATGGAAAGAAGAAAGAAGATGAACGTGAAAATGTAATCTGTATGTGAGATAAGGGTCAGAGAAAAATTTCAGAAAAAGGACTCTGAAGCTGAGCTCCAACAGTATTCATAAGTAAAGAACAACTAATTTGGATATATAGCACAGAGAATTGGAGGAAAAACGTAGTACGTTTGAGGATGAAAAAGTAAACTGAGAGACAGAAAAAAGAAAAGGAGAGAGAGCTCAGCTCAGTACTGTAACAACAGAACTATTGAACAACTGAGAAAATAACAAAATACTAGGACAGAGAAGATCCTGAAAGACCATTATTGACCACTAGTTACCTATTAACTGCCACCATGCCATCTTGTATATCAGTGTTAGATAGCTTGACCAATTTGCAGCAATTGTATCCATAATGATGGATTTAATTGCATGACCAAAAGAATTATCATTGCATTTGTTATTTTTTTAGAAATTAAGATGCCTTAAATCTTATAGAGTTCTGTGAACTTAGAAAGTAACAGTTCTATATACCTTTTCTATATTTCTTTCCATTTTTAAAAATTAAGCAAATATCTTCAATGTTAATGCAAACACACATTTTACTCTACAACTCTACCTGTTTACAATTATGTTTTAGACATTTGGTTGTTTACATAATATTACAAAACCAAAGTACTTGGATTATTTTAATTCAGAATACATTTCCCTATTTTTAAATAATTTGACATTTATAGGATAATTACAATTCCAATATTCCATTCATTGTAACATACATAAAGTAATTTAGTCTGACGCAGTTGCCTCTATCTTTTGAGACTTTATTGATTAAAAACCACACTCATTAAAAGGAAAGCTTATATGAATAAAGTGCACCTACAGGTTTTTACAGCAATATTTTATCATTTTGAATTTCTAAAAAAAGTATTACTCCTGCGTAATAACCTCTTTAGTGAAAAGATTCTCATTACTGCTTCATTTATGAAATAATGTTTAATATAGGCATCTTTCCATATATTGGCTCTGCTGCAATAGATTATTGCATCTTTCAAATGGTAGGAACCAAAGATTAAAGCTTTCCTTTACCTGCTTTTTTAGATTTTATAAAAGATTAGAGAAAAATGAAACTATAAGTCACTTTTGGGGTAAAATTGTGAAGCTAATTACCAATCTGTTTTTCTGTATGTAAAGTTCATGTCTAATTTTACCGGAAATGAGAATTGTAGCCTCTTGGAGAAAAAAATGTAACCATTCTGCATTTGGCTATATTCATATATTGCACTTATGAATTTTTTTGATATTACACAATGTCACATAAATATATGATTAAAAAATTTTTTGAAGACATAAAAACATACCAAGCAAACCAAAACTATGCCATTTTGCCTGAATGAAACGTTCAGTATTTTTAAAATATATTACATTTCTCTAAGTTAATGTATAAATTCAATGTGCTCCCAGTAAAATATCTAACAGATTTCAAAAAGAATTTTACATGGCGTTTCATGAGAAGTGTCAGTGGTAAATTTGATTCCATTAAAATGAATAATATATAAATAAGCAGTCCAACAGTGTTAAATATAAATGACAACACAGGAAAAAACGTTTTTTACTCTGTGTAACAGATGAAAGAGTAATACCCAGGATTTCCAAAGATAAACATTTGAAATAT
Organism: Homo sapiens; assembly: GCF_000001405.40. NCBI lineage: Eukaryota > Metazoa > Chordata > Mammalia > Primates > Hominidae > Homo > Homo sapiens. The sequence continues at coordinate 88,545 of NW_012132921.1, forward strand.
TTATGAAGCATATTAATCCAATAAAGATGGACAAGGATAGGAAAAGGACAATTCACAAAAGATGAAACACCAAACTTCAATAAACATATATGCAAATTTCAGTCATGTATTCATTAGGGTTCTCCAGAGATACAGAACCAATGTAAATATATATATACATTTTATTATAAAGGAACAGGTTCATGTGACTGTGGAGGCGGAGAAATCCCACAATCCGTTATCTGCAAGCTGGAGATCTGGAAAAGCCAGTGATGTTTGTTGCAGGCCAAGTTTGAAGGCCTGAAAAGCACAAGCATTGTTAGTATAAGTTCCAGTCCAAGGGTAGCAGAAGAATGATGTCTCAACTCATGCAGTGAGAGAGAGAGAGAAGAGAGTGAGTAAAAAGAGAGAAGGAGAGAGAGAGAGAAAGAAAGAAAGAGAGAGAGATGAATTCAACCTTCTTCTGTTTTTTAGTTTTATTTGGGCCCCACATTGGAGAGGGCCATCTGTTTTATTCAGTCCACCGATTCAAATGCTCATCTCTTCCAAAGCACCCTTATAGACACACTTGGAAATAATGTTTAACCAGATTACGTGGGCATTCTGTGACCCAGTCAAGTTGACACATAAAACTAACCATCACATACATTTTATCACAGAAACTAGTTAAAATATTTTTTTCATCAGAGTGATAATTTAAAAATACATTGTCAATATCAAGTGTGGGTAAAAGTGTATGTCAGATATATGGAATCCTAGTGGGGGATATTAATTGGTATGGTTACTATGAAGGGGAATTTGATAGTATTTATTAAATTTTAAATGTGCTTACTTTTTGACACTGCCATTATTCTCTATGATATTAGCCTGTATGTCCAGCATTAGGGAATGAAAAAGTAATTAAGGAACAACAATATCGTTATGACAATTTTATGTGATGTTAGGAAGGGTTCAAAAACATGACATCTGTCACATAGTGATTTGCAAGGTATATTATGATATGAAAAAACAATCTAAAAATACCAACAAATATTGCATTAAGATAAAGAAAGCAAACTCAGCATAGGATGATGAGCGCATTCACAAATGCTACAGAATGTCTTGAAGGACATACATCACAGGGATAACAGTGGTTACCTAGATGGGAGACTGAAGGTGTGAGTTGGTGGAAACGAACTAATTTGGCTTACTTATCTCAATTTAAGTATTATAATATATTTAAATCACATGTACTATAATCTTAATTGCAATTTATTAAGAAATTATCTATCTAACTGGGTACTTGTTATTAAAGTAATTCTGCTTAAGTATCTAGTCTAGAGTCAGAAATAGAGTCTACAAGTGTAAGGTAAATCTTTTTCAAAATATGTACAAACACTCTTGCTTCAGTGAAGTACTTTCCTGAAGTACAATAGCACTTGAAGCTTAGAAGATCGAATTGAAGATTTCTAAAGATAAAATTTCTAATTACACATCTGATATGTCTTAGGGTAATTCTTGGCTCCCTATCAAATCAATAAGGAAACACCCTTCCTTTGGGCTGCTAGCATTAAGGATTGACTTGCACAGCGTCCTTTCTACTCTTATCTAGTTCCCATTGTAAGGATCACAATCCAAATACCTGGCGTTAGACAAAACCACCTATTACGGGACAGACCCTTTTAAAAAGCTCATGTATGGAATGAAGTGTATATGTAAATACCTATCACATGCTCGTGAAGTGGTTGTTTCCCTTCATAAAATTTCATAATATTACCTGATGCTCCAAGAAGGGGGAGGAGAAGAGATAATTAATCAGTTTGCATCTTTATTTTGTAGAAAAGAGTGATATATGGTCGTTTGTGTTGTGGATAGAAGTTGAATACTTACTTGAACACATAATTTTACAAATTTATCTTAAGTTTATATACTTAGGAAAAGAATGAGATGCACTTTTACAAAGTTTCCCTAAAACCTTTCATTCATTCAATTATGTATTATATTTTGGTTGCTTTCAATGAATCAGAGGCTATCCAACGTGGCACTGAAATAATAGGGAACACATTGAATTTCTGTCCTTGTGCAGGTTAAATTCTGAGTCATAGGGTGACACACCAAAAAGCAAATATAAAATAAAATAGACAGTCACAGTGGCTCATGCCTGTAATCCCAGCACTTTGGGAAGCCAAGGCAGGTGGGTCATGAGGTCAGGAGTTCAAGACCAGCCTGGATGGTGAAACCCTGTCTCTACTAAAAAATACAAAAATTAGCCGGGTGTGGTGGTGGATACCTGTAATCCTAGCTACTCGGGAGACTGAGGCAGAGAATTGCTTGAACCTGGGAGGCAGAGGTTGCAGTGAGCCGAGATTGTGCCACTGCACTCCAGCCTGGGCGACAGAGCGAGACTCCATCTCAAACAAACAAACAAACAAACAGATAAAAAAACATAAAATAAAATAATTGTGAGATTTAAAAGCTATGAATAAATTCATAAAGGTCCTAGATAGAGAATCCAGATAGAAAAAAGTGCCAATCTCAGTGAAGAATGGAGAAGAGAAGCATTCCAGGCAAAGGCAACAGCATGTGCAAATGCTCTGACCTGGAACTTGATATGGATCCATATAATGCAAAAAACTTTCATGGTAGAAGGATGAATGCTGTTCTAAATGCAATAGAAACCATTGGAGAGTTTGTAACAGTGATCCAGTTTGAATGTAGTCTTAATCACATTTCTAACTATTGACAGCAAAGTATTAAAAGAAGAAAGAAAACTATGTTAATTATACATATTACTCCGAAAATGTCTTTCATTTAGATAAACACTATTTGGAACTTAGAGTTTTGTTATCTGTTTGGATTTTTGATTGGTTCATCCAAGAGAATAATTATTAAGTTAAAACAAAGTAAATAAAACATTTTATTAATTTTATGCATTTTGGGGCAGCTAGACCCTTAGGATAGAGATAAAGTTTTCCAATAATGTTTTTTGTCTTTATCTGACTGTTGAGATTAAACTTTCTTCAGTCTGGAACATGTGTCCTTAACTAGATTATCAAATGAATTTTCCCCTCAGTATTAATTTCCACAGTGGTGATTTCAATATTCAATAAATGCATGACAAGACTTCCCATTAGAGAAATCAATTCTATTCTCGATTGACAGATAAACACTTTAGCATGAGATCATTTGATAGCTTCTGTCTTAAACTATTTGGTCTCCCAAGGCAGAAGTATTTTTTAGAGCCAGCCCTTGCACCGTGGCATTGTAATGACATCGTAAAACAGTTCTTTTTATACTTTCCAATAAAACAGTGTGACATCTTAAATCTGAGTTGCTTTACTTTTTAAAGGATGAAGAATGCATGATTCCTTCCGTCCACCTCCCTCTAGCCAGGCAATCATCAGGTACAAAGAAGAAAGCTCAGGGGAAACACAGTCTCACTCTATAAATGTATTCAAGGTAACCATATAGATAGGGGAGGAATTGTTCACATTCTGAGAAGATAAGAAGACAAGGTGACAATAACCTAGAATTAGTCCAAGATAGAGTTTAGGTTTTTCAATGGGTAAAGATAACACATTCCCACACAAACAAACATTCACTCTATGGGGTCTGAGGTGGGTATAAAAATCATCACAGAACAAGAAAGTTTGGGATTAGCCATTGCAGGGGTAAGGAGACTCTTTGTTTTGAAAATTGGGGCCTGGTCCTAACACACAGATCAAGTTGGATGGGTCAGGGTGAGGGAGGGCTGTGAAAGGAACTGCGCAAGGGGTGATTTCTAGAAGTTGTCTATGTTCACTAGAACAGGTCTCTAAAACAATAGTAACCCATTTCTCCTTAAAACTTCAATTTCAAAAACAAGTACATACAGAGAAACAAGAAGTTCCGTTATTTCCAGTGAATTCTCTCCTTCCTCAAAAGAAAGCACAACCAAATAAGTACACAAACAACTCATAGCCAGAAGACAGTCTGTATGAAAGACTGCTTACATATGTTCTAGGAATAATTATCATTTTAGTTACCATTGTGTTGTACAGTGTCAACTTCATTTTTGTTATGAGTCACAATAACCAAAATCTAACTCATCAGAAGGATTGAATTCAATGGAAACATCTGAAGGTATTAATTTATCAGAGAAAATTTATTTATTTTATTTTATTTTATTTATTTATTTTTTGAGACGGAGTCTCGCTCTGTCAGCAGGCTGGAGTGCAGTAGTGTGATCTCGGCTCACTGCAACCTCCGCCTCCCTGGTTCAAGCTATTCTCCTGCCTAAGCCTCCCGAGTAGCTGGGATTACAGGCATGTGCCACCACGCCCAGCTAATTTTTGTATTTTTAGTAGAGATGGGGTTTCACCCTGTTGGCCAGGTTGGTCTCGATCTCCTGACCTTGTGATCCATCCGCCTCAGCCTCCCAAAGTGCTAGGATTACAGGTGTGAGCCACTGCACTCAGCCAAAAATTTATTCTTGCTCACACATGATCCTGGTCCTATATTCTTGAAGATTAGACATGGGTTTCAGGTAAGAGTGATGCTAAGATTTCATAACGGCTGTACCCTGATGCAATACCCCAACCTTAGGCCCAATAGCCTGAGATATACTGTTAGGAGATATATTCTCTTGGAGAATACATCTCAGGCTATTGGGCAATGAAGGGAAAGTAAGCATTAGGTTGTGATCCAGTTTGCTCTGTGCACAAAAGAGTCCCGGTCCTATCTTCTGGAAGTTGAGACATGGGTTTCAGGTAGACAGTGATGCAAAGTTTTATAATGGCTATATCCTGATGCCATACCGAATGTGTTCCCTGTGACTCGCTCAAGCCCATAATGAAAACCAGACTATTGATTTTAGCAGGTAATCCACTGGCAAATGTTATCTCTGAATTCATATTTAAGCTGGAATTCTCAGGATTTTCTACTAGCAATGACATTTTTAAAATATTGGCTTTATATCCTGATTCACCTCTTTATTCAGAGTCCTATATACCTCTGGAGAACTTGCTCTCACTCCCTTTAACACGTGTTTGCATAATGCAAACTAAAGATGGATTTCCTAAATGCATATGGATGAGTAAACACTTCGGCTTGTATAAATCTTGAAACATAAATCTGACAAACACATGAGGACCAGCCTTATCTACTTGGGTGCCCCCTTTGAAATTCCTAGTGACTGGGGTAAGAAGCACTCCTTTCTCAGGAAAGGAAACCTTGACACATGGGTAGCTGTTTAATAATAAATGTATTTTATTACTCAGATTTTACAATTTATTTTTATTTGTATCACACAGTACAGCTGTGGAAAAGCTGTATGGCACCCTGGAAAAAAGGGCTTCTTTAAATAGAAGGACCAAAGGGATAATAGGAAAAATAAGGCAGATTAATACAAGAGGAATGAGGTTTTGGATTCATTATCTAAAAATAATGGGGTAGGTGTAAAGAGTTCTGAGTTTTAATTCCAAAGTATCAGAACAAATTAAATCCTAGAAGAAGAATATCGAGGTACCCTATGAGGTAAGTGATCATTAAATAGGTATAATATAACCCCCCTTCCATTTATCCCATTTCCAAAGAGTGTGCATCTGCCTTTGCTAAGAATCAGGCATATGTACACTCTGACAGCGAGAGAGACAGTAGAGAACCACTATATTCTCTCATTAAAATGAACTCTAGATATTTCATAAAACCCCTCAGGTTTAATTTCTCCTAAGAATATATCTCAGACTATTATGGAGTGAATGGAAGTAAGCATTAGGCTACCCAGGTTGGGGTCCAATTTACTTTTTGCACAAACTTTCAAACAAGTCTCTATTTTCTTGTGAAGGCTACCCCTGCCATATTTGGAGCCTCTCTCTGCTCAGCCTCTTGGGGATCTGCAAAATCAACTGCTATAGTGAACGTCTTTTCCTGACTGTTATGCCGTCAGATCTTTGTTATTGTAGTTGTTCAAATATGTGCATTTCTTTTCTCCCAGTCAGATCTTTTTTAATGAGTCATTTTACTGGAAGCATGTACCATCTTTCTCTACTCTCCCAAGTTTAAGGACATTTTTAAAGACAGTCATCAGAGTAAAGTTGCAGAAGTTCTAGAGTTGTTTCCTATTTTCCTCATGATATTAACTAGTCTGTTGGGAGCAAGCCTGACCCTCATGAGCACTGTGATTCATCAAGTGGCAAAAAAAAAAAAAAAAAAAAAAAAAGAAGCCAGTTACTTTTTTTAGTGTAGCTTACTTATTAAGAATGCTTCAGTCAAATTTTATGAAAATTGAGAATAATAGATTTTATGGTTATTCTTGCAAAATGTCCTCTTTCTGAGTTAACTTGTAACTAAAAGTGATGATTTCTCTCTTTTGTCACCCCAAGTTCTCTTGGAACACAAACTCCTCCCTGGGGATAGGCAACTCAGAAGAGGACATAAGAAAATGATAACTTAATGGGACCCCAGTGGGCTCTAAAATTTAATACCACCAAAAAAATTAATGAAGCTTCTAAAGCAAGGGATGTTAAGTCTGAGGATAACTTATGCATTGGGATGATCTGGCTTGTTACTGGCATTATTTAACATTTCCCAGGCACTGAAGTACAGCATGACTAAACATCCAAAAACAGGACAGGACAACAATTTTGACTCCTATATGCAGGAAAATGTACTTCAAATTCGAAGAATATAAAGTACCTTAAAATGGAAGAAAACAACTAGTTGGAAGGAAAAGTTCCTCTTTACACTAATCCAGCTAATAAATACATAGATGAAAAAATGATAGAATTCTATACCAAGAAGATATCTCAAAATCATGCAATTACACGGAAGTTAAACAATTGGCTCTTGAATGACTTTTGGGTAAACAATGAAATCAAGGCAGAAATTAAAAAATTATTTCTAGCGGAACTAGAAAACAAGAAGAGACCAACCCTAAAGCTAGCAGAAGAGAAGAAATAATGAAAATTAGAGAAGAATTGAATAAAACTGAGATGCAAAAATCCACATAAAAGATCAATGAAACTAAAAGTAGATTCTTTGAAAGAATAAACAAGATTGATAGACCACAATTAGATGAACAAAGAAAAAAAGGGAGAAGTTCCACATAAGCACAAGGAGAAATGACAAGGATGACATTACAACCGATTCCACTGAAATAATAAAGGTTTTTAGAGACTAGCATGAACATCTCAATGCATATACATTAGGAAATTTAGAGTAAATGGATACATTTATGGAAGCACACAACCTCCTAAGATTGAATCAGGAAGAAATTGAAAATCTGAAACCTACCAACCAAAAAAAAGCCCGGGACCAGATGGATTTGCAGCCGAATGCTACTAGACACACAAAGAAGAGCTTGTACCAATCCTACTGAAACTATTCCAAAATTTGAGAAGAAAGAACTCCTCCGTAACCCTTTCTAAATCCTAAAGATGCTACCAGGAAGCTCCTAGAACTGATCAATGACTTCAGTAAAGTTTCAGGATACAAAATCAATGTATAAAATCAGCAGCATTTCTATACACCAATAATATTCAAGCTGAGAGCCAAATCAAGAACGCAATCCCATTTACAATAGCCATTTACAAAAATGAAATACCTTGGAATAGTGCTAACCAAGGAAGTGAAAGATCTCTACAAGGAGAACTAGAAAACACTGCTGAAAGAAATCAGAAACTACCCAAATAAATGAAAAAACACTCCACGCTCATGAATAGGAAGAATTCATATCATTACAATGACCATACTGCCCAAATCAATGTACAGATTTAATGCTATTTCTATTAAACTACCAATGTATTCTTTTACAGAATTAGAAAATACCATTCTAAAATTCATATGAAACCAAAAAAAGACCCCAAATAGCCAAAGCATTCCTAAGCAAAAAGAACAAAGCTGTAGGAATCACACCACCTAACTTCAAACTACATTACAAGTCTACAGTAACAAAACAGCATAGTACTGATATAAAAACAGACACACAGAGGAATGGAACAGAATAGAGAGCCCAGAAATGATACTGCATACCCGCAACCATCTGATCTTTGACAAAGTCGACAAAAAATAAGCAACGAAGAAAGGACTCTCTATTCAATAAATGGTACTGGAATAACTAGCTAGTCATATGCAGAAGATTGAAACTGGATCCCTTTCCTGTAAGGAAAGGGTATGACTAGCTAGTTATCCCAGCACCATTTATTGAATAGAGAGTCCTTTCTTCGTTGCTTATTTTTGTCGACTTTGTCAAAGATCAGATGATTGCGGGTGTGCAGTATCATTTCTGGGCTCTCTATTCTGTTCCATTCCTCTGTGTGTCTGTTTTTATATCAGTACTATGCTCTTTTGTTACTGTAGACTTGTAATGTAGTTTGAAGTTAGGTGGTGTGATTCCTGCAGCTTTGTTCTTTTTGCTTAGGAATGCTTTGGCTATTTGGGGTCTTTTTTTGGTTTCATATGAATTTTAGAATGGTATTTTCTAATTCTGTAAAAGAATACATTGGTAGTTTAATAGAAATAGCATTAAACCTGTACATTGATGAGTTCATGTCCTTTGTAGGGACATGGATGAAGCTGGAAACCATCATTCTCAGCAAACTATCGCAAGGACAAAAAACCAAACACCGCATGTTCTCACTCATAGGTGGGAATTGAACAATGAGAACACATGGACACAGGAAGGGGAACATCACACACTGGGGCCTGTTGTGGGGGTGGGGGGAGGGGGGAGGAATAGCATTGGGAGATATACCTAATGCTAAATGACCAGTTAATGGGTGCAGCACACCACCATGGCACATGCATACATATGTAACAAACCTGCACATTGTGCACATGTACCCTAAAACTTAAAGTATAATTTAAAAAAAAGACTTCATTTTTTTTCAACAATTTCATTATTATGCTAAAAAGAGGGAGGGTAAGTAATGTTTTACTTTCCTTTAGTACATGATTAAGATCTATATAAAAAAAAATAAACTCAGGATGTTTTAAAGTCTTAAAACCTAAAACCATAAAAACCCTGGAATATAACCTAGAAAATAACATTTGGGACATAGGTCTAGGCACGGATTTCATGATGAAAATGCCAAAAGCAATTGCAACAAAAACAAAAATGACAAATGTAAGACCTAATTAAACTAAAGAGCTTCTGGACAGTGAAAGAAACTATCAACAAACAGACACCATAATAATGGGAGAAAATATTTGCCAACTATGCATCTGACAAAGGTCTACTACCCAGAATCTATAACGAACTTAAATCAACAAGCAAAAAAAAAACCCCATTAAAAAATGGGCAAAGAACATAAACAGACATTTCTAAAAAGAAGATATACAAGTGGCCAAAAAACATGAAAAAATGTTCATCGCTAATCATCAGAGAAATGCAAATAAAAACCTCAGTGAGATACCATTACAATTAAATATAGGGTAACCAGATATCATGGGGTCTCAGTGATTTGAAGCAATAAGAAGTAAAAAATAGCTGCTCACTTCAGCAGCACATATACTAAAATTGGAATGATATAGAGATAATAAAAAAGAAAAAAGAAAAAAATTATGTTTTTAAAAATAGTGAGAAACAGCACATGTGAAGTATACTTGTCAAAATACTTGAGCCTGACTCTAAGAAGTCCTCCACATATGCCAGTTTATAGGATATTCAGGGAATAGAAGAAAGTTAATTTCTATATCACAAGGGAGTAATCACTTACATGCAGATTGTGGGACATTTGATTACATGTATCAATGGAATAAATAAAACAAGGATCAACTGTTATAAAACAAATGAGACTAAAAAGACCTAACAACTTCATGCAATACATGGAATTTTAGGGATTCTGACTCAAAGGAATTAAGTAAATGAAATATTTTCATGATAGTAAGAAATTACTGACTTTTAAAGTATGGTGGTTACTTGAAAATAGTCTTCTCAGAGAAGCATACTCAAGTATTTACAGTTGAAATGCCCTAATGTCTGAGATTTGCTTTAAAATGTATTCTGGCTGAAATATATGGGTCAGTAGATGAGTTGAGTCTGGTCATATGCTGATATGTATAAATGCTGGGTAACGGGTCTATGAGGGCCGATTTGAGTGTTTTCTGTATTTCTTGTTACATTTGAAAATTTTCATAAAAGAAGGGGAATTTAGTATCCCATGGATAGAGGAAGAGATAGTAAGTGAAGGAATTGCATTTTCTATGACTAAAGACTTGAAGACACAGTGGCACAATCGGATCAAATCTGGGTATTGTTTAGGGTTGATATGAAATTTTTGGACACTGCTCAGATACAGTCACAAAACAAAGAGAACTTTTGATGATGTTTTCACCTGTCATTTTTATAAATTGATTTCAATCATTTCTTCTTGTGAATTTTATCTACTTATAAGATGCATATAGTATGGTTTCTAAAGCATATTACTGGTAGTTGCTCTATTGATTTCACTAAATCAACAGTTTTGTTGGTTTTGATGATTTGAATATTGCCAAAATATCAAATTTTCTAGTCTAGTTTTTAAAGTAATTTCTGAGGGAAGAAAGAAATTATTTCCCATTCTATTGCAAGTGGTAGTGTGATAGCAGCACTGGGTGTTTACAGGTGAAACAGAAAATGCCAAACAGTGATTTCACATGACCGACAAGAAAGGAGCTGTTAAAATTAGCTACAAGAAGAGCCTGGGCTGATAAGACCCTAACAAACAGGATATGGACTACTTTAGTTGAAACTGGCTAGAATTCAAACTTGTCCAACGCGTGGTCCATGAGCTGCATGCAGCCCAGAGTGGCGTTGAGTGAGGCCCAGCACAAATTTGTAAACTTTCTTAAAACGTTATGAGATTTGCTTGCGATTTTTGTTTTTTGTTATTTTTTTTTTTAGCTCATCAGCTATCGTTAGTGTTAGCATATTTTATGTGTGGCCCAAGAAAATTCTTCCAATGTGGCACAGGGAAGCCAAAAGATTGGAAACCCCTGGGCTACATCCAAGACGGAGCTGGATTGGACCCAGGCTCTACCCCAGACTTAATTATACACTCATTATCATCACGCTAAACCACATACCTACCAGCACCGTGACATACCTGAGGACACCTATGTTTGGTATCAACATGGGTGACACCTCAATTCCAAGAAATTCCTGCTGTTTCCCCTAAAACCTCATGATTATTCTACTCCTTAATTAGAAAAACCCATAAAAATAGAAAACTGAACTGTGTCAGGCACGACTTGCTCTCTGGAGTACCCCCACATGCCCCTCTCGAGTGTGTACTTCCGTTTTGCAATAAAACCCTTTTGCCTTTTGTTTGCTTTGCTTTGATTCGTCCTTGAATTCTTTCTCATGACAGTGTCAAGAACCTGGAAACAGGGTAGGGTTAGGGGTCTCACCGACACCTGGAGACCTCCTGGGCCCTCCAGGGACCATAGTTTCCAATTTCTTTATGTAATAGAGCTGTAGTGGTAAGTAAAATGATCATAATATTGTTTTATCTATTTTACTTTGAAAATATTTTCTCATCTCTCATTCAAATGTTGTAGATACACACACGATTTGACAGTAATTTACTCCAAGCCAATTGAAGTATTAATCATGTGAGATATGGTTGTATCTGGTCAAGTACCTAAAAAAAGCACCACAGCAAGATAGGGAAACTGAGGTAATCAATAATATGTAAGGATCTGCATTGTTTAAAAGGTGCTGAATAGCAAGACAACTTGGCTATGATAATGCAGTGACAGGTGTGTGCATATGCAGAGGGTCCACATTATAATACAAACATTTAATCACATACATCCTCCTCACAGAGTCTCCCCAAAACAAACAAATTCACATGATTTCCTATCTTCCTTCCTCACTGTTTATGATTTCTACACCCTCTCAGACCTACAGAATGCAAACCTGTATGAGTGAAACAGTTATACCTGACTTGGCATGAACCCACCTACAAAACAGAATTTATGTTTTGTTCTGATGTCTCATCCTTTTTAAATTTTAATTAATTAATTTATTTTTGAGACAGAGTCTCACTTTATCATCCAGGCTGGAGTGCAGTGGCCGGATCTTGGCTCACTGCAACCTCCATCTCCTGGATTCAAGTGATTCCCCTGCCTCAGCCTCCCAAGTAGCTGGGACTACAGGCGTGTGCCACCACGCCCAGCTAATTTTTATATTTTTAGTAGAGATGGGGTTTCACCATGTTGGCCAGGCTGGTCTCGAACTTCTGACCTCAGGTAATCCGCCTGCCTTGGCCTCCCGAAGTGCTGGGATTATAGGCATGAGCCACTGTGCCTGACCTCATCCTTTTTAAAAAATGTGTGTGTATATATATATATAAACTTTATTTTATGTTGGCAAGAACAGTTAACATGAGATCCACCCTCTTAACAAATTTTTTTTAGTGCAATATAGTATTGTTGACTATAGGTACAATGTTGTACAGCAGATTTCTAGAAGTTATTTAATTCTTCCTGGTCCCATTATAATTGAAACCCTCTAGTGATCTGGGAGCAGCTTTGTTGATTGATCTCTCTGATTCCTGGTCTGGTCCTGTACACTTTCTTGCACAATACATGTCCTGTCATAGACATCTCTAGGAGGACCCATCCCTTTCTATTCTGCTGCACAGAATGCCAGCCTAACTCATGACTCTGTGCCTTCTGTCCCACTTGATTTTCTTCCCAACTTATTGTTTCTCTTAGTAAGAATTTGTTTGCATTTATTCCCTGTTGTAAGTTAGATACAGTAAACATCAGAAAAAGAGGGAGAAGACAAATATCAGTGTCTCATGGATACCCTTGGCTTCTTTGGTGGTTTCAATTGCAATGTTTTCCTGCTTTAATGAGACTTAGTGTTCTTGGGAATAGGGAGCAGCATAAAATGCAATGATGCGAACAGATTCGGAAGGGCAAACACCACAATAAAATTCACCTACTGGGACTTTCTAGAACTTCGAAGGAGGATTGTGGACCACTATTGTATTTCAGCATGGCAGGTCCCTGAACAGCCATGAGAGAGACACACATGAAGGTTTCGGGGTTCTGGATCAGTACCAACAAACGTTTTATGGAAAATACCCAATTAAGTGTTTGCAAGCTTTTCATGTGGAAGAAATCTCATTCATGTTAAACTAATTCAGTGTTTCATAGTAGAGGAAAAGAATTACTCAGATACTAGAGATTAGATAACTCCCAGGTGGGATTGTTCCTTGGTTTAATGCAGTGGCTCTCAAAGTTTGGTGCTGGGACTAGCAGCTTCAGCATCTGCTGGGAACTCATTAGAAATGCAAATTATGGAGCCCCACCCCAGATCTACTGATTCAAAAACTCCAGGGTGGGGCCCAGCGAACCCTTGTGTTCACAAGCCTACCAGGAGATTCTAATGAATGCCCAAATTTAAGAACCGCTCTTTTAATGCATATTTTTCAAAAGAAAGATTTTGAAATTTCAATGCATTTTTCTTAAGACAGCAAGGTCTTTGGAAATAATTCTTCAAGCCAAATAAATTTGAAAATGATCCTTCAAGTCAAATAAAAAGTCCTTTTCCTTTCAAAATTATTGATAAAGGAACAATGTTTCATACTAGCTTGATAATTCTATTTGTTGATCCTAACTCAGGAAACATTCATGTTTATGGTTACAACCATCACATTTTATTGTTTTATTGACATTCAGCACTGTAAGTAGACTGATGTATAACGTTAACACCTGTAAATGGTAAGAAAACAAGAAAGCTATGCCTGTAGCTCCTTTAGGGTCCATGGATTGATAGTAAAGCAATAATTAGGAACAGAGTGTGAAGCTCAAGTCAGTTTTAAATTCCAGGTCTGAGGAGCAGTATTTTGCCCCGGTATATGAGATAGTACGTGTAACATTCAGTGTCATGTCAAGCATGCCAAAGGAGCTTAATGTTAGCTTTTGTTATCCTGGTGCTCTTTAATACTGTTCCAGAAAAGACTTCTGCAAGCTTCTCTGAGTGTAAATATGTATAGTCAATTAGTCAAGCTTCACATCATAAATAGAAGCTTGCAGAAGTCTTTTCTGGAACAGTATTAAAGAGTACCAGGATAAATATATAGTAGCACACATACATAGCCAATTAGTCAATATATATATCCTATTCTACAGCCCAGTTTCTCATATGGTTATGCACATATTACAAATTCTAAAGAAAATATTAGATATTAGTAGTGTATTAAAGATAAGTTTACTATGGCTAAATTCAATTAAACTCTCAAAGGAAACATTAAAATGAGCAAATATATTAAATGCTACTACATTAGTATGAAAAATGAGGAAAACTGATGCTGTCATCCTAAATCCTAGAGCAGAGCAGAGCAGAGGTGGCAATCCACTGCCATGCAAGTCACATCGAGAGCACAGATATGCTTTGCTTTGTTTAATTTGCACTGAGGTTTGTTTGCTTTATTTTGTTGTTGCTTTTTTTTTTTTTGCACCAGAGGCAATACTAAAAGGTCTAATATTTTCACAAAAAACCCCAAATTTTCAGATCTCTTTGAAAAATTGGTAGCTCTGGCACTCTTGGGGTGACAAATCCAAAACATTAGGCTGGATCCTAATGATAGCTGTGAGTCCATTTAGAGAGGCATGTCCTCAGCTTGCTGTGCTCAGTCACACTAAGACCAACCTTTATTGGTCATTTATAATTGTTCTTACACTGTCACTTTATGTATAATAGAAACTATTTCTCAATCCTTTCATGTCTAACTTGCAAAGATATAAAATAATGGCCATATGTTTGAAGAAAAGGCCTTCATATGAAACTCTTTGCCAGTAATATAGCTCTTATTTTATAATACCTATTATTTCCTTATATAAGAATCTAATTTTTGACGCCTAAACTAAAAGATATCCTATTATAGTAAAAAAAATTAAAAATTTCTTATGTATTATATAACATTTTGAGAAATTCTTCTAATAACATAAAAGAAATTATAAATAAGAATTGCAATTAATTTTTAAAAACTGGCTGTAGGTTATAGTTGACTGTGTTTTATATGCAAAATCAATGCATTGAACTGTCAGAACTAATGACACAGTAGAGTATGATGGCCATGAATCACAAAAGGAGGACTTGAAAACAATGAAAGAGTACTATATTTGTAGAGAGAAATGGTCAAAATGAACATGAGTTTTTACTTCTCCTCAAACTTACTTACACTTTTAATGGAATTACAATAAAAATACATGTGTTTGTGTTTACATATACTTTCAATGTAATTACAATCAAAATGCAGACATGTGTTTCTGTTTACACACACACACAGACACACACACACACACATGCATATATTTATTTATATGGCTTTTCTGTATATCTCTTTGTGTCTGTGTCAGGGGTGAGGTGAGGGCTTCCAAATCATTTTAAGCCTATGTTAACCAAGGTTTTCCAAGAAAAGAATTATATGTAATAGACATCATCAATTTTAAAACATACTTTGAAAAATAAATTATTAAAACAATGTGGCATGGGTTTAGTAAGGGACAGACAACTCAATGTGCCAGAATAAATAGTATGAAATCAAATGCTGGCAGATATAAACCATTAATAGATAATAGAAGTGGAATGTCTTAGCAGAGGGATGATCGATTAACTTTCTGAAAAAAAAGAATACACATCTAATTTACCAAAACAAATCCCATAGCAATTAAATTAAAAAACATAAATAAAATAATACAATAATAGCTTAAAAACATTTATGGGGGATTTGGGGGTAGGATGGACTTTTTACTATATAAAATCAAGAGACCATAAAAGTATCATAGATAAGCTTCATTAAAATCATGAAATGTTCTATGTTAAAAATAAAAGAATAAAATTAAAATGAAATGCCAAGGACTTTGCCTCTGTGGCAGATGCAGTAATAGGGATAGTGATATGAACAGGGGGCAGGGAGATACTAGGTAGAAAAGGGCGGGGTCCCTGGTGAGGGCTCCATCCTCAAGCCTGGACCCATGACCCTAAATGAGAACATGCATTCCTGTTTTCCTGCCCAAATGTTGCCTTTTCCAAAACTACTGTGGCCTGCCCCACCCCTCATCCTGTACCCATAAAAACCCTAAGTTCCACTGGCAGAAGGGCAGCAGAGCAGCAGAGCGGCATGAGAGAAGGAAAGGAGAAGAATCTGAATGTCGAGAGGAGGAGAAGCAACTGGACATTGGAGACTACGGTTGGAGAGGGCTTTGGCCGGAGATGGGCAAACTTCAGGGGAAGACCACCTTTCCACTCCATTCCCTTTCTAGCTCCCCATCCTTCTGAGAGTCACTTTCATCACTCAATAAAATCCTCCACATTCACCACCCTCCAATTTGTTCATGTGACCGCATTCCTCCTGGACGCCTGACAAGGACCCGGGTGTGGGTGCAAGAGGCTGTCACCCTGACCCCCCACTGAGCTGTTTAATGCTTAAACTGTCCATGGATGGCAGAGGTAAAGGAGCGCATTTTAACACCTGCCCTCTGGCACTCTGGGGGTCGCAGGTAACCCCTAAATGCTGCCGTGGGGCCATGCAGCAGTCTACTCCTGCCGGCACCCGGAAGTACTCCTCCCAGCCTCTGCACGGGCTCACCTGCGTGCTCCCACTCCCACAAGGGGTTTGTGAGCTGTGGGCTTAGCAGGTGAGCCACCCCTTCATGAGTCCCACAAAGGAGTCAAGGGAACTATCCCATCTCAATGGGATATATCCTTTCACACGATACAACCAAAAAAGTAACGTAGAATATATGAAACATGGTTTTTCAAGACACTAGGTGTCAGGTAAAAGCAGACAGCGATTCTTCAGACATGAAAAACAAAAACGGTGAACCCTACGGTTGTTCAACTTACTGCCCTGAGGGATATTTGAGACAACAATGCAGAGGGAAAACCAGGTGAAGTGAACTCCCTGAGTGAGGAGATGAGTCCAGGGAGACTAAAGGCAGCTAAAGTTGTCGAAAGAGTATTGGAGGAAAATGTTACAGAGAGAGAACGTGAGAGAGAGAGAGAGAGAGAGAGAGAGAGAGAGAGAGAGAGAGATGCACAGAAAGAGAACATCAGAGATCAGTAACCTTCTAGTGTTCAGCAGTTTATCTCTCAGCACGTTTATGAGAAAACCAGTCAAGGTCAGGGAAGTAATCATTGGAATGGATTTAAGGAGGCAGTATTCAGTTTTTAAACAGGGTCAAAAATAGTGTCTGTTGCCACTAGCCAGATTAGAACAGCTTGTAACTCTCAAGATATTGAATATAGAATTCCAGAGGATCTTGCCCCAGCATTGCAGAATAACTAGCCTTATGCAGAACACTGCTCTGGCCCTTCCCAACAGATCACAAAAGCAAGACACGAGCAATCAAAGTGTTTCCAAGTAACCTAACTGCATCCCAAAACAAAACTCAAGAAGACTTATAGGAATACAGAAATATACAATATCCAATAAGATAAAACTCATAATGTCTGACATCCAATCAAATGAATTCCAGACGTGTAAAAATAGATAAAACATAATGAAGAGAATAACTAATTGAAACTAACCCAAAACTGGTATAGATATTAGAGCTAGCAGACAAGGACATTAAAACAGTTATGTTTACTATATCTAAAGAAGAAGAAGAATAAACATACAGGACATAAAAAGACCTAAGTGAATTCTAGAGATGTGAGCCACAATGTCTGCGGTGAAAAAAATGCAATGGGTTGGATTAGTGGGAGATTTGATTTTGCAGAATAAGAGATTGTTGAATTTGAAACTATCTAAAATGAAACATGGAGAGAAGAATTAAAGTAAAAACTGCAAAGAGCATCAGTGAGCTGTGGGACAACTTTAAGAAGCCTAATATACATATCACTGGAGAATCTGAAAAAGAAAAGAGTAGGGACAGAAGAAATATTTGAAGAAACAATCACTAAAAGGTTTCTAAACTTAAAGAAAATTATAAACCTTCAGATCCAAGAAGCTCAGTGAACTACACTGGACATATTATAATCAAATTGCTCAAAATATTTAGGAGAATACCTTAACACTAGCCTCATGTCACTTAACACATGCCAAAAAAATTAAAAATAAAAAGGTAGGCAATTACAGAAGAACAAAGATAACAGTAGATTTGTCATTGGCAACAATGCAAGAGAGAGGAGTATAACACCTTGAAAGTACTCAAAGAAAATAATCTATCAACATAGAATCCCATTACCAGTGAAAATATTTTTCAAAAATGAGAACGAAATAGAGATATTTTCAGACATATAAAAATGGAAAGAATTCAACACCAGATGACAAAGTCTTATCAATGCCTACAAAACTATGAGGGAAAAGCAAAAAAGCAAACATATCCAAATAGTCAATAAGCACAGAAAAAGACGTTCAATGTAATTACTCATCAGAGGAATGCAAATTGAAACTATGATGATATTTAATTTAAAAAATGAGTATAATTTAAAAGACGGGGATTATCAAGTGTTGACAAAAAGAAAGAACAACGGGGGCTTTCATATTGCTTGTTGGAGTGTAAAATGATTTAACCTCTCCAAAAAACTGTTTGACATTATCTACTGAAGCTAATGTAGACCAGCAACTCTACTCCTAGGTATACACTCAAGAAAAATTAATTTGCCTTTTCCCTAAAGAATATGTATGAAAATATTCATAGCCATTTTATTCATAATGTACTCAAACTGGAAGTAATGCAAATGTCCCTTGAAAAAGATTGGAAATATAAATTCTGATAGTCATTCAACAGAATACTACATAGGAACTGAAAAAAGCCAAACTCTGTATACGTATCGCAATATAGTTAAAGACTTAATATTGTGCAAAATAAACCATACACAAAAGTGGTACCTACCTCATGATTTTATATATATATATATATATATATATATATATATAATTTAACAAAAGAAAAAATAAATGCATTTTATTTGAAGTAAGAACAGTTTTCCTGGGGAAAGGTGTTGATTTAGAAGTAGCACCCTGGGGTGATGAACACATTAAGTATTTTGATTTGGACAATTGCACAGATATGTGCACATGCAAAAAAATTCAGTGTGTGGCACACAGAAGATCTGTGCACAACATTGTATGGAAATTATATCTCAAAGTACATGGTTTAATTTTTTTTTGTTTTTGAGACAAGAGTCTCGCTCTGTCGCCCAGGCTGGAGTGCAGTGGTGCGATCTCGGCTCACTGCAAGCTCCGCCTCCCGGGTTCACGCCATTCTCCTGCCTCAGCCTCCCGAGTAGCTGGGACTACAGGTGTCCACCACCACGCCTGGCTAATTTTTTGTATTTTTAGTAGAGATGGGGTTTCACCCTGTTAGCCAGGATGGTCTCGATCTCCTAACCTCGTGATCCACCTACCTCAGCCTCCCAAAGTGCTGGGATTACAGGCGTGAGCCACCGTGCCCAGCTGGTTTAATTTTTATATACTTGAAAACTTTCTAGCTTCCTTTCTGTTATTTGTTCCTATTTTTTTCACTTTGGTCAGAGAACATATTATATATAATCAGAATCCATTGAAATTTGTGGAAGCCTGCCGGTTTTTTCAGCATATGATCTACTTTGGTAAATATTCTAGGCACAGTTAAAAAAATGTGTTTTCTACAGTTGGTAGGTAGAACAATCCACAAATATCAAGTAGGTCAATTTGGTCAATTATGGCCTTTAAATTTTCTCTATTTTTATTGATTAATTTTGTTTGCTTCTTCTCTCAGCCACTAAGAGATGTGAGTTAAAATTTCTATTTATTATTGTCAAGTTTTATATCACTAGGTCAACTTTTACTTTATATATATATACATATACATGAACTTTGATATATATACATATATAGACATACAAATGTTTTTTATAAAAAATGTTATATAAACTTTTATATAAACTTATATGTATATATATCAAAGTTTATGTATATGTATATATAAAAAGTTTATATACATATATACAAAAACATATATGTGTGTCTACACACACACACACACAATTTTGCACCATTCTTACAGGATGTGACTAAAAATCCTGGATGGTGGGATGGGGCTGAGATGGCAGCGGTTTAGAAAAAAGGAGTTAAGGTGGAAGTAGAAGAGGGATAAGACAGGAAATGGCATTTGCAGAATTTTGCTCAGAGTAGAGCAAAAGCAGACTCAACAGGGAAATTAATGCCTGGCCTCCACCTCAGGACGGGGTATATTCACCAATTACATAAGAGTTCTGCACTGCAGAGTCATAAGCTTGCGGACATTGGGTTTAAATCGTCCTCACTAATCATGTATTTTCTTCCAGACTTCCCCTCTTTCTTGCTGGTAATAGTGATTCTACTTATCTCTTTACATCATTTGGCGCCAGCCCACTTCCTAGCTATTTATTTCTGTATTGATATCTCCATTTGGCAAGGGAATTAAAAGGTCTTAGAATTTTGTCGTGTAAAAGAATTAAATTTTGCCCCGTGACTACTGTACTTACAAATTTGCATACCTCCAACTTTCATCATACTCAGTGCACAAAGCATCTTTCTATTTTCACCAGTGTTTACTCTCCTTAGAAAGAATCAGGACTTCTAAAGTTATGTAAGAATTAGGAAGTTGTCTGCTTATTATTGAATTAGCCATTCTAACGATATTGGGGATCCTATATAAACTTTACTCTTAGAACTAATGACCTACAGAATGGCTTTTTTTTTTTTTTTTTTTTTTTTTTTTCGAGATGAAGTCTCCATTTGTTGCCCAGGCTAGAGTGCAGTGGCACGATTTTGGCTCACTGCAGCCTCCAGCTCCCAGGTTCCGGCAATTCTCCTGCTTTAGCCTCCTGAGCGGCTGGGATTACAGGCCCATGCCACCACATCTGGCTAATTTTTGTACCTTTAAGAGATGGGGTATCACCGTGTTGGTCAGGCTGGTCTTGAACTTCTGACCTCAAGTCATTAGCCGACCTTGGCCTCCCAATGTGCTGGAATTACAGGCATGGGCCACCACACCTGGCCTAGAATGGCAATTTTGATCTAGGAATGGTTTTCTCTTTCTTTTAGTAATGCCCATGTTAAATTACATGGCAAAGGGGGGTTAAGGTTGCAGATGGAATTGAGGTTGTTAATCAGCTAATCTTAAAAGAAATAGATTATCCTGGATTGTAATAATAAACGTCCTTTACAATAGAAGAGGGAGTCTGAAGAGAGAACCAAAGAGATGATGGCATGTGATGGGCTCAGGCAGACACTGCTGGCTTTGAAGATGGAGGAAAGGAACCCCCAGCCGAGGAATGCAGGTGGCTTTTAAAGCTAGAAAAGTTAAGGAAATTGATTCTTCACTAGATCCTCCAGAAACAAATGCAGCTCTGCAGACACTTTGATTTTAGCCTCTTTGTTTATGGTCTGAATGTATACCCCTTAATTAGTGTATTAGAGACGGAAGCCCCAGTGCAACAGTGTTGGGAGGTGAAGTTCTTTGGGAGATATTTAGGTCATATGCCCTCATGAATAGATTAATGCCATTATGAAGGAACTTGATGGGCGGAGTTCGGTCCCCTTATCATCCTTCCATTCCTTTCATTATGTGAGGGTACTGTGTTCCTTCCCTCCAGAGGATGCAGCATCTTGGAAGTGGAGAAAAGCCCTCACCAGACAGCTGAACCTACTGGTGCCTTGATCTTGGACTTTCCCAGTCTCCAGAAGGATGAGAAAATAAATTTGTGTTCTTTATAATTTAGCCAGTCTCAGGTAATCTGTTATAGCCGCACAAACAAACTAAGACAGAGTCTTTTTAAACTTGTGATCTGTAGAAACGTAGGACAATAAATTTGTGTTTTTTTAAGCCAGTAAGTTTGCAGTAATTGATGACAGCAGCAATACAAAACTAACATAACATTGTGGAAAAGGATGAAGAAATGGTAATGATAAAAACCAAATGCAAATTGCTTGAAGACCCTCATAATGCCAGTGAGTACAAATTTGCTAAATATTACTATTTTTAAAACAGAATATCTTCTGCAATGTTTAAATAAGTCGGTGAAGTAAAAACATTCTTGAGCGTCTTAAGTGAAGATCTAATTTCATACCCTTACAGGTCTTTTCTTTGTTACTTAATTACCTAATGGAAAATCTGTTCATAATCAACATTTTTGGAAGAAAGTTTATTTATGGGGGTTGAGATGAAGCATCTTCTATTTTTCTGAACATAATATGCTCAGATACATTCTATTTTGCAAAGGCAGGGATGCCTCTCCCCTCCCAATAGATTTTAAAAAGCATTTATTAACCTAAGTAAAAGAGAAAAGTAAGCATGAAGTTAATAAAGGTGGGTGTGGTTTTAATTCATTTTCATGGATTTTAATTAATTTTAACTTTCACATTTCATGGAAGCATCTCTTTTTTTGTATTTTTCATAAGAAAAGAATTCAAAAAAGAAAAAAGAAGAAGAAATAGCAGGTTTTTTCTACCGACCAATACAAATGAAGTAACAAGACGATATGCTAATAATTTAAAAAAATGCTGCCAGGGTCAGAATATTGCTAGTGGCTTGGTTATTTTCTGCATGCTTTTCATACAACCATCCAAGCTTATTTGGCAAAGCAGAAGTTTAGTTATTGCTGAAACTGTTTGCAAGACTCTAAGACTCATTCTTTAAGACATTTTTGGAATAATAGAGAATTTAGGTGAAAGAAAACAGTGTAATACATGCTTTCTCTTTGAGGTCTATTATAGTCACTTTTGCAGCCTCAGCCTAAATCTCACCACCTTGTTTTGGATCTATTTGAAAACAAAATGTTTCATTTTTATGAAGAGTTGTCAGTGAGAGGAAAACTTCACCTTCAATAAGATTATTCCTGGGCACAAGAACAATTTCTTCAAAATTGTTGGAATACACTTCAGAAGCTCTTCTTGTAGAATCTGCTTTAATTTATGTCCTATCACTGCTCATCAAAGCTTTTGTGTCCACCTCTCTTTTGTCTCCAGATGATGAGTTGAGTTGGCACCACATAGACAATTCAGCGAGGTATTCTGAACTGTCGTTGTTTTGGAAGTTTTATTGTTCTAAAGACTGTGGAAGAAAGATACTGTAAAAGATGTTAGGTCAGAGACTTAAAGGTTTTTTTTCTACACTTAATTCTACTGTATAGTTTCTCTACCTTATAGTATTAATGATTTTATGTGGAGTCATTTTCTTCGAACAGGTTCACAGGTAGGGTGCAGGATATTTCGTTTCCATCAGCTTGGAAGTGCCTGTGGGTAGCTATATGTTTGAGAAAGCTTTTGTGACTTCCTGAATTTTGTATATTCTTTTTCCCACATTTTTGTTTCATTTTCATCCAGACACAATTTTTAAAAATTAATGTTTGTTTATGACAATTCTTTTTGTGGAAAGAAGCCTTATGGGCCCACGAGACTTCCAATAGAAACAAAGAAACTAATACATAATACTTTTATTATTAACACTTCACAAGATCCCTTTGCCTAATTTCATTTGGTATTAAATGATTTTTAATTACAGAATATGATTGCAAAGTTATGGTTTTAATTTTCTTTATTCATCAAATAAAGCAAAGGTATGTCTTCACATACTGTGAATCAATTTTTGGAAATTCGCAATATTCCAAATATTCTTTGAAAATTTTCAACTATTTTATTTCCTTCTTCTATGACATGGATTATGTACTTGGCAGTGTGTCTCATATACATGCTTATGAGTGTTCTCATTTTAGCTACCTTTGAAATACTTTATTCCCAACAGTTAGATTTTTTTTTGCTCTTCATTTTTTTCTGCTTTATAAAACTAAAAATAGAACTACCATATTATCCAGCTATCCCACTTCTTGGTATATATACAAAAGAATTGAAATCAGGACCTTGAAGAGATATCTGCACTCCCATGTTAATTGCAGTGTTATTCACAAAAGCCAAGACATAGAAACAACCCAAATGTCCATCAGCAGATGAATGAATAAAGAAAATGTGATATATATATATACAATGGAATATTATTCAGCCTTAAAAAATGAAATCCTACCATTTGTAACATCATGGATGAACCTAGAGAACAAGTCAAAGTTTGGAACCCATCTGCAAATATCTTGGGGTTCTCAAAATAGCTTCCTAGCTTTTCTTTACATTGTTGTATGTCAGTTATAGAGAAGGGGGCCTGCATTCAGACTGGCCGCTCAGCTCCTGCTACTTCCTTAAAGGCTGGAGGGAGACTTGAATAGGTTGTTCCCCTATGAGTATGAAGGGACTTAGCAAGGTCCCTAGTGTTTGCCCTTGGGTTTTAGTCTCACGAGCACTTGGCAAGCAGCTATATGGGGGTGGTTGCAATTCCCCCTGAGAGACAGGTGGCCCTTGTAAAAGGGGGTCACCTCCAATATCTAGTTCTGCCTTAGGACTTTCCTTTGTGGGGCAGGTTCTGGGAGTTTTGCAGATTGTTGGATTTTGGTATAGGACTATGAAGGCCTGTACATTTGGGATTTCTGACCATTTACCCTGACTTTTGCAAAATAGATGTAACTGCAGGATGATATCATAATTAAGGCTACCATTGACCACCTATTGTTCCTGGCTTCCTATCTGGTAATGCGGCCAAACAGCATTACAATAAAAAGTCAGATGTTTTTTCCTTAGATTATCAGGGTCAAACTGATTCCAATGGTTGAGAATGTAGCCTAGCGGAGAATCAGGTAGAATGGATGGAGAGTTTCCCCCAGTGGTCTAGAAAAGAAAAAAAGACTTTGAAAAGCGTAGGGTTTATTAGGTGACCCAAATCGATGCCTGGGACATCCCACTAGAAAAACTCTGGGCCCTGGTTGGGGTCCCCAGGGGTGTCCCCCTTTTTAGGGCCCCATCTTAGTGTGTCAGACATCTCTGACGTTAGATGGGTGCCAGGACCACTTTGGAATGCTTCTCTCCACCACTGATGACCTACTGTGAGCTTTCTTTCTTGACCCTGGATGAAGGTCTTGACTTCTAGCATTATCATTTTGATAAGGACACATTTTCTTTCTAACTTTAGCCAATATGTTTACACACAGAATCCCTTCCACAATTAATTTTCACAAACCTGCAACTTTTTCAAACGTTTGGATTTTTCCTATCCCACTTAATTCTTAAACCCTTTAATCTTAGGCAAGAAATCCACATTAAATTGTACAGAATTTAAAAAATATATTCCCTTCATGAATCTTTTTCATGACTTACACAGACCATCTACGATATGTTTGGGCTTTATGATGTGTCCTAAACATCCCTTTTTTTAAACAACTGGTCATTTTACTTTAGGACAAAAATTCATCATACAGGATTCTTTCTTATATAAAAATCTCTTTTCTCTATAACCTTCTCTGCATAGCTAGGGGGTTAGGTGGGTTTCTCTTGTCCTTAGCCAATCAAATAGATTGAGCAGGAGAAGGGAGTTCAAAACTCCTAAGAGACATTATCTTTTGTTATTACAGGCTAACTCCAAATAATAATTTAGCATAAGAAAAAAGGATTTAAGTTACCTGATATGTGTGTGAGTTTGCCCTGGATGAGCTGCCGCTGCCAATTGTATCACATGTAGGGATAAGGGACTATAACTATGAAAGATAGAAGAGTCCTTCCCTGTTCTGGGCAGGTCAGCTACCCCATTCACTCCATGGCCTTCAGGTAACACTGGAGAGTGGCCCTGGCCTGTTGCCCTCAATTACTAAGGAGCTACTAGAAAATGGCCACTGAAAGACTAAAAAAGAAAAAAAAAGGAGAAGGCCTCAGATCCCTCACCTGAACCAGGCAGTGGTGGTCAGGTACTTCCACACAGAAATCTTTCAGTTTCTCAGGAGAGTGGCTCTGGGGAGAAACCTGCAGTTGCCTCCATGTTTAGGTGCTGTCCACCAAGGGTCCTGAAAAGACCCTTGGTCTTTTTTCCTTGGAAAGGAAAAAAGAGACAGAAAGAGAAAGAAAAGTGTTCCCCTGTATGGAGCAGAGAAAAAAAAGGAAAAACAAAAAGAGAAGAAAAATAAATCACAAACTTCAGGCTTACCTCCTGGCTGGCTCACCAAAATATGCTACCGGTGGAGGGTCTTGACTACATGTCATCCACTTTCTTGACATTTTGAACAAAGAATTGGAGAAATTACACAAAGCAATGAGAGAATGAAGCAACGAAAACTTAGATTTTTTTGAAATAAAAGTACACTCCATAGAGTGCAGCAGGTTTGAGCAAGTGGTTCAAGAGCACTGGTTACAGAATTTTCTGGGGTTTAAATACCCTCTAGAGGTTTCTCATTGGTTACTTGGTTTACCCCCTGTGCAAATGAAGAATTGGCCAATGGCCATTCTGATTGGTTGCTGGAGGGGACCAATCAGAGGGCCGAAGTAAAGTTACAAAGTGACATCCCTATGCAAATGAAGACTAGGCCCGTGACCAGTCTGATTGGTTGCAGGAGGGGACCAGTCAGAGGTAGTTTCCATTTCTCACCTGTGAGGCAGAAAGGGGAGAGGTTTGCAGAGGGGGTAGCCTCTGATCCTTTTGTTACTTGGGCATGGAATTTTGGGGTTTTCCTGCTGATTTAGTCTAGGAGGTCAGTGTGAAATTTGCCTTAGCTTTCCTGCCTCCAGAGCTGTACTAGTCTGTTCTCACACTGCCATGAAGAAGTACCTGAGACTGAGTAATTTATAAAGGAAAGAGGTTTAATTGACTCACAGTTCTTCAGGGCAAGGGAGGCATCAGAAAACTTACAATCATGGTGGAAGGGGAAGCAAACACATCCTTTTTCACATGGCAGAGGAAGGAGAAGAATGAGAATTGAGCGAAGGGGGAAGCCCCTCATAAAACCATCAGATCTCATGAGAACTTACTCAATATCATGAGAATAGCATGGGGGAAATTGCCCCCATGATTAAATTGCCTCCCACTAGGTTCCTCACACAACATGTGGGGATTATGGGAACTACAATTCAAGATAAGATTTGGGTGAGGACACAGCCAAACCATTTCAAGAGTCCATTCTCCTGCCTCAAACCCATTTTTAAGGGCTCCACTCTCATGACCTAATTACCTCCCAAAGATCTCACCTGCTAATGCCATCACTTTGGTGATTAGGATTCCGCATATGGATTTTGTTTCAGACCATAGCAGGTGGGATAATGCATTTTATATATTTACATTACTTTCATTTGTTTACTTTCCTCTGATGTTATTTTTAAAAAAGCAATGTGCAGTTATTACTTTCTTGCAGTTACAACTTATTTCTATTTTTTAAAATCAGGTACGATGCACAAATTTAGCAATTTACCTTGTATAGCATTTTGCTTTCCTTTCATAGATTCTCATATATAATCCTAAACCCTGCCATAGTTATTGCCATGGTCTTTAACAAACCTATTCTGTTTTCAAAGGAATATTTTTCTTTTGAGAAGCATTTATTCCTCTTAATATTTAACATAAAACAATAGATTTTCAAGTTTTCTACTGACTTACTGTCGTTGTTTGCCTTATTAAAACTGGAATCAATTCTAGAGTGGTAATTCCTAGGCCTACTTCTAATGGCAGCTGTGAGAATTATTTTCTAAGCTATTGAGCCTGAAATTAATGCCTTGTCAGCAAAATTATATACTTTATCAGTAGGAGGCATACATCCTATGGTCATGTTTTCCAAATTAAATATTACAGGCAATCAAATAACTTTATCCTTACTTCTGTAAGTCATGAGATGGATATTTTTGAAAATTGAAAGTCTCAGATAATCTTTTACAAATTAAAATTAATATACTGGCATAAAACTTATATGATCCATTAAAAGAAGTTTTTAAAATATCTTAGTGGAATCCAAAATAATTTAGAAAAACCAATTTATTTGACAAATAAGAGAACTTAGCTTCAGAGATGTAGCCTATCCAGGGTCTCATGACAATTACTGGCATTCAACAAATGATTATTGTGTGCCAGGTATTATGCTAGATGCCAGGAATTTTTATTGTTTCTATTTAATTTTAAATTATTTCCAATGCCTTCAGAGCTTTGAACTTAGAAAGTATAAATTTTACACTGCAAATGATCTCTGTATTATCTGAAAACCTGTTATTGAATTTTAAAACACAGTAATTTTTCACATTCTGTTTGATACCATTTATATACTGCTGTTTAGTAGTTTCTTGGATTTATAAAGTGCCTCTCATTTGAAACATGTAACATTTTATTTTCAATTACATAAAATGAAAGGAATGCATTTCTATTAAATCAAAAAAAAACAATATGGGAAAATATAGAATAAAGAATTCTCATACACATGCGTAGATGCACATGCGTTCCTGCTTACTTCCCTGGGGTAACCTCTACCACTATGAACTGTTGTGTACACCCTTCCTGACATCTTTTCTGTGCATTTAAACTTGCACATGAATACATAAACAATATCATATTTATTTTACACAACTGTATTAATATACATATTTTACCACATAATTTTGCTTTTCTTAAATCTCATAGATTTTTCAATGTCAGGCACCTGAGCTTATTTTTCTTAATAATTGCATAGAATTTCACAGAATGGTTGAATAATAACATATCAATTTGCTCCCCAATTAATGGATATTTCAAGTGCCTCCAATGATTCACTGTGTTGAACATATGTACTGTTCCTTCTTATACCTATCTTTGTACAATTTGTGGATTTTTGTGTCAATAAATAGAAATAAAATCAAGAGGCCAAAGAGACCACATTTTCAGTCCTGGGTTTTAAGTTACTGCTAATTTGCCCTTAAGTGCTACACCAGGTTATGACAGAACACTTTTTTCTACTGCAAAACATCAACTTGATTGTCCCATGGCTTGTAGAAGAAGGTGATAGAACAAAATCCTCCCCTGTAATTTAGCTTTGCTGGTTGGATTATGTGTGTAGAGAGACTGGAGCAAGTTCTTATTATAAAATGCAAACATTTTATAATGCAAATATTATATATATATAATATATATAATTTATATATATATTATATAAATTATATATAATATAATATATAATTATATGTAATATATATATTTCCTTATAATTTATATGCAAATATTAAATATAAATGCATAAAAATGCAAATATTATAAACTACAAACATTCAGTTCTAAGAAATACTATAGTATCATCAAACATTTAATATATGTGGCACATCCATAGAATGGTTTTTCAGGGAGAGAGGAGATGGTAGTAATAAATTAGAAAAACAGCATTGCCAGAAATGATAAGTAAGGTAGCCTTATTAATTTTTTTTCTAAACCTATTCATTTGAATGCCTAGACAGAAGAAGGACCCAAAGAGACAGACTGTCTATATAATAGAATATATTACCAGCTGAAATCATTTTTGAAAAAAAAAGGCTAGCGATTCATCCATTTGATGAAATTCCTAGGACATTTTAATAGTCAACATGTAAAGTTTATTTTTATCACGTAAGACTTTTGTAGGTGCTTTTTTTGAAGCTGCCATCATATATGGTTAACAACACTGTCTTCAGTGTCAATTTTGAACTCAAAGAATAATGAAGTGATTTTCTTCCTTGATTTTGGGGTGGAAATATGTATGTACACATACATAAACACAACAAATGCACATCCATAACTCTATTACAAATTTCTATTTACAACAGTTTCAGTTTTATGGGTAAGTATTGAGTTTTTTAAATTTTTCTTTTCTCATTTTGTCCTCCCGTTCCCTGCCGAGAGAGAGCTCACACAGCAGATGTACCAAAATCATTCTACAAACCTGTCATTTAACCCATATTGTTTTCATAAATTTGCTACCTCCCTCGGTGAAAACATATGATTTTCTTCTTCAGTTCACCTGAAAATTGCTTCTTCAAGCCTTCATTTGGAACAGTATAGATTTGGGTGTTGTCAGCAGTGCAGGGAGGTATTTGAATAAAGTCACACTCCCCAGATGTAGGGCAATGTCATCAATCACAGGTGTGTCAGGGATTTATCTGGGGGCCTCACAAATATTTGGCTCCAAAATGAGCTAAGTCTCTCACTTAGGAACATGGTCCACAGCTGCACTTGATAGAGTCTTTCTATCAATTTTCAGATGACTGGAGCATGGATTTTCCCAGATGAAGTTTGTACATGTGGATGTGTTCATTGAATATAAAGCTTTTTCTCCAAAAGCATTAAGAGTGTCAGTAAGAGAGAATTTCATACAGAGCCACATTTATAGGCAACAAAAGTTCATGTTAAGTAGAATATAGAAGTAATTTTTATTTTTCACAATATTAAGCATTTGAAAAGAGACTGAAGGAAAGTTCCAAATATTTTGAACAATATTTCCAGGGCAGATATTTGTCCTGAACAGAAATATTTCAAATATAAAGAAAAGCAACACTTTCTCAAATACTCTTTTAAAAATTATAACATAATAATCTTAAACGTGAGAAAAATGGGAAATACAGAAAAAAATTTCAGTAATATCAGCAATGAAACTATTCATATTTATTAGTTTGTTTCCTTCCAGTGTCATTTACATCTATATAAGATTTCGTTTGCGTATTATCTAATAATAATACTGAGCACTCAGCTAAATTGTACATTCCAGTTATTTTCTCATTCAGTTCTAGTAAAAACAAATCTATAATATATGTGTTATTACATTCATTTCAAAGATATAAAAATTGAAGCCGAGAGAAATAAATTTTCCAGGACACAAATTTAGTAGGTTTGGCCCTTTGCCTATGCACAGTTTTGCAGCATTGCCTCTTTTAATCTCCACTTTGAAATTAACATCATCACATTACGTTCACTGTCCATGTTGCTGTGTTGTCTTTATAACAGTAATTTCTAATGGCTATATCACGTCCATTAAGTGGAGGCGCCATAAAAATTGAATTATTCTGGAATAGAAAATTATAATTACGTTTTAAAAATTCAGCAGAGTACTTAGTTAAATATATTTGAGCACATAATCTTCTTCATATTTCAGATTATTTTCTTAGGATATATGTCTATGATTAAAATTTATGCCAAAAAAGGAGAAAAATGGACTTTTCCAGCACCCTCGATGTGCAGTAGCAAACGGTTTTCCAAAAAGATTATATATCTCTAAAATTTACCATTCTTGAGAATAGTAGCTTTCCACACCTTTACCAACATCAAAATAATAATTTTAGCTTTTACAAAATATTTGAAATAGAAATACTGAAATAATTCAAACATTGTAGTAATGAATAAACTAATGTGATGAAAAAAGTGATGTAGTTAACATTACTAGCTTCCTGTGTTTGCTTCTAATATATTTTATATGGCCTATCATCCATCTATCTATCTATCTATCTATCTATCTATCTATCTATCTATCTATCTATCTATCTAATCTATCTACTTATGTGTGTATATATGTATGTATCTATCTATCTGAAATAGTGTGACATGCATTATTCTTATTTAGTTATCTAGTTGGTTATGTAAATAATGGATCTCACAGTAATTTAAAGCATGAATAGATACATCAGACAACCTCAGACACAGTCTATTTCTATGCTCGCATCTTTGCCCCCATGGTAGATTGCTTTTGATTGTTACTTGCTGCACACTAGCTAGGTTTGGGACGAAAGGGGATTCTTTGTTGTCCAGGTCCAGGCTTTAGTTTTATACACATTTTGTGTCCCTGGTTCTCAGGGGTTGGGTTTTCTCAACGATCTTGCCACCACCCCTCACTGTGTGAGAAGGCATCTCATGGCCTGAGTGCAGGATGAGTTCCTGCTCCTTCTTCAAGGAAATGAAATTATTTTTCTTTTCCCTTTCTCTGGTTTCCCAACCACAGTGGATCTTGTTTTCTGTCCTGTGGTTTAGGGTTCATCACCCTTTACCAACTGGCCTATGCTTTTCATTACCTGGGAAGAGGGCCCCAGGTGGTACTTAGTGTCTTTCTCCAGGGCTTGCTGTGGCCCTCCTCCTGGCCTACAGCACCGAGGGGACCCTTCTGCAGCCTTCTTCCTGCCTCCACTGTGTCCTGTGTGCCTGGTGAAGTCTGTGGAGAAGAGCCTGTAAGTGCATGCAAAGTCCCCTGCGTCTGTGACTTCCAGAGTTTCTATTCTTTTACACTAGCTCACACTGAACCTTTTGCAATTCATTAAAAATTTAGCCAGATGAATTCTTTTTATCCTTTCCTGTGAAGATCTCATCTTCCTCCTGCTGCAGGTATCAAGTCAGTGCTCGAGCTCTGTCTTTCCTTTGATATCAGAGTAGTTGGTTGTCCTATTACCTTGGCTTTTTGATGTGTTCAAGAAACATTATACTTTGGTAGATTATCTTGCTTTTTCTTGTCATTAGGGCAGGAGTGATACTTTTACCAGCTTTCTGCAACTTACATAGAAGCTGGAAGCCCACCTACATTCATGAAAAAATTTTTTCGCAGGATATAGAATTCTGGGAGAATAGGTTTTTGTTGTTGTTTGCTTTGCTTTGTTTCAGCATTTTAAAGATGTCATGTGTTCTCTGTTCTCAGTGGTTCCTGATGAGAAGTTAGTGACAATAAAATTACTGTTTCCTATATGTAAAAATCTTTATTTCTGTTTGCATTTTTACTGCTTTTAATATTTTCTCTTTGGTTTTTATTTTTCAACCATTTCACTATAATGTTTTTGGATCTATGCTCTTCCCTTCTTCCAAATGAGTCTGCTCCAAAAGCTGCTCAGTTTTTTCTCCAGTCTTCTCCCTTTATTAAGTTTGTGTTTTGATAATTTCTCCAGAGTTTATAAATGCTGTCTATCATATACTCAGTTTGGTAGGAGCTCTCACAACCATATTAGAAGTGGATGTTAACAATTTGCTTTTGCTTCAGTCTTCATTTTGGGGTCATGGTTGTCTATGTATGTGGGGAGTCTAATATGATATAACTTTAGTTTCCTACTTAGTCCTTGATATGGTTTGGCTGTGTCCCCACCCAAATCTCAACTTGAATTGTATCTCCCAGAGTTCCCACGTGTTGTTGGAGGGACCCAGTGGGAGGTAATTGAATCATGGGGGCTGGTCTTTCCTGTGCTATTCTCATGATAATGAATAAGTCTCACGAGATCTGATGGGTTTATCAGGGGTTTCTGCTTTTGCTTCTTCCTCATTTTCTCTTGCTGTTGCCATGTAAGAAGTGCCTTTTGGCTGGGTGCAGTGGCTCACACCTGTAATCACAGTACTTTGGGAGGCTGAGGTGGGCAGATCACAAGGTCAGGAGATCGAGACCATCCTGGCTAACATGGTGAAACTGCGTCTCTACTAAAAATACAAAAAATTAGCTGAACACGGTGGCACGCACCTGTAGTCCCAGCTACTCCGGAGGCTGAGGCAGGAGAATCACTTGAACCTGGGAGGTGGAAGTTGCAGTGAGCTGAGATTGCGCCACTGCACTCCAGCCTGGGTGACAGAGTGAGACTCTGTCTCAAAAAAAAAAAAAAGAAAGTGCCTTTCGCCTCCCACCATGATTCTGAGGCCTCCCCAGTGATGTGGAACTGAAAGTCCAATTAAACCTCTTTTTCTTTCCAGTCTTTATCAGCAGTGTAAAAACAGACCAGTACAGTCCTGCTGTATTCTGGGCCCTCAGATTTTAGTCCATTAGGTTTCCAAAACTAGCCAGGCAGGCGTTGGCCTGGTGGCCACAGATTTCTTTATGATTCATGGACTTTAGTAACTTCACCTGCACCCTATTACATTCTCTCCAGATATGACCCCAATATTGGCTAATTTTAAAAGTTCCTCCAGGTCATTCAAAAACTTGATCAATTTTGAAAACCATTTAAACAAGTTCTTATTCCATGATGTCACTCAGTAGCAAAAACACTTCATGGCAAATTGAGTTTTAAAGGTTGTGGAAGAGTTAGAATTGCAAAAAATGGGAAAAAACCTATTTTGGATGAGGGAAATAATATAATTAAAGAAACAGGCAGAAAAGTGAGGTGCTGTCATTCCTGCTGCATTACTGGAATACAGCATGATTGTTGGAAATTAGTTCAGGGATAGATTTGGAATGGCCTTGCAGGTTAAGCTAAGGATACCAAGGTTCATTCTCTAGACAGCAGAAACCAATTAAGGTTTTTGACATAAAAAATAACATGAGTAGTGCTGTCCACTTAGTATAAAAAGACTAATAGTTTGCAAAGCCTTGACTGACTTCAGGAGACTAGAAGTGAAAAGACTATTTGCTGCATCCTAGGAGAGGGTAATTGTAGCCTTAAATGAGAGGTTGGTCACTGGAATGTAAAGATTGTGGTAGATGTGAAAGCCAATAAGGCAGAAGGATCAATAGAGGAGAGACAGCAGTGTCAAAGGTAGCACTGGGGGTTTCAATGCAAATGATCAGGCGACCTGGCTGCCATTTGTAGCAACCAGAAACAGTGAAGAATATGCAGCTCTGGATAAATGATAACATTTGATTGACATTGAAATTATTTTAAGGGCTGATGGTACTTCCAATTGGTGATAAGGCAAACTAGTCTAAGTCCATTAATGCAAATTTACATTCTATCAGGCACACAAACTTTCTATTTCTAATAATAAAATTCTCACTTGAGATTTTTTCATTTAATCTAGGATGCCCTGTGGATATATTGAATTGATATTCCAATTTATTTGCATTTAATATGTACTATTTCATTTCTTAATAATATAGTTTTTCAGAATTTTCAAAACTTTGTTTTAATCATTTAAAAAATGAGTCAAGAGATTAAATTGACCTTGTAGTTCTAACACTAATTATCCTCTATTTTCTTTTGTAATTAATTTGGACATGTTTTAACTTTAACATAATTTTTATTCTCAATTCATATTTTAAAATAACTTTTTGGTTATATTATAACATATGTTGAGAAAAGTACACAATAATAAGTATAGACCTTGAAGAATTTTCACAAATGTCCTCCTTGTGTCCCCTCCATTGTCACTACACACTCCTTCCAAAGGAAGCTAATTTCTTATTTATAAAGTAGTTTTGCCTGAATGCAGTCATACAGTATGTACTGTGTTTGGCTTCTTCTATTCAAAGTTATGTGTGTACTCCTTTTCCATTCAGTTCCTTTAGAGATAATCATTTATTTTTATGAATTTCACTGATTTTTATTTACACTTGCATTGTTTCTTGTTTGTAGCTATTTAAATGATGTTGTTACATATGAAGATTTCTCAAATAACTAAAAGTAAATGTACCATTCAATCCAGCAATCCCACTACTAGGTATCTATCCAGAGGAAAAGAAGTCATTATATCAAAAAGACACCTGCACATGTATGTTTACTGCAGCACCATTCACAATTACAAAGATACGGAGCCAACTTAAGTGCCCATCAACTGACGAGTGGATAAAGAAAATGCGGTGTATGAATGTATGTATACAACACACACACACACACACACACACGCACACACACACACAAACACTCCCCATGGAATACTACTCAACCATAAAAAGGATTAAATAGTGTTTTTTTGTGGCAACTTGTTTGGAACTGGACACCATCATTTTAAGTGAAATAACTCAGGAGTGGAAAACTAAACATTGCATGTGCTCACTTATAAGTGGGAGCTAAGCTGTGGGTATGCAAAGGCATGCAGAGTGGTATAATGAACACTGGAGACAGAAAGAGTGAGGGTGAGAGGGAGGTGAGGGATGTAAAACTACCTATTGGGTACAACATACAGTACTCAGGTCACGAGTACATTAAAATCCCAGACCTCACCACTAAACAAGTCTTCCATGTAACCAAAACTGCTTGTACCCCTAAAGCTATTGAAATAAAAAATATATTAGCAATAATTTCTTAATATTATTTTAAAATAAAATAATGCTGTTATAATGTTACACAAACCTTTTAGTCAATATATGTTTGCATTTTTATTGGGCTTTTGCATTAGTACATTCTTGTACTGCTATAAATAAATAAATACTTCAGACTGGGTAATTTATAAAGAAAAGAGTTTTAATTGGCTCATGGTTTTGCAGGCTGTATAGGAAGCATGGTTCTTGCAACTGCTGAGCTTCTGGGGAGGCCTCAGGAAACTTACAATCATGGCAGAAGGTGCAGGGGGAGCACACACATCACATGGCCAGAGTGGGAGCAAGAGTGAGAGGAGGAGATGCTAAACACTTTTAAACAACTAGATCTCATGAGAACCCATTCACTGTCATGAGAACAGTACCAAAAGGGATGGTGATAAACCATTCATGAGAAACCGACCTCCATGACCCAATCACCTCCTACTAGGCCCCACCTTCAAAAGTGGGGATTTCAATTCAACGTGAGATTTGGGTGGGAACACAGATCCAAACCTTGTCAGCTTCTGTGTAGTTTTGTGATTGTTGAGAAGCCACGGAGCAAGTACACGTGCATTTTTAGTGGATAGTACCAAAGTTTCCCAAAGTGGAAACAGTGAGTTTTAGGTTTTCCTCATCTTTACTAGTGCTTAATGTTTTCAGCCTTTTTAATTTGTGCCATATTGATATATATGTGATTGTAAATCTTTGTGGAATTAGTTTACATTTTTTTCTATTGGTTAATGAGGCTGATCACCTTCTCATATGTTTATTGACTACAAATTCTCTCCTTTTGAGAATAGGTTGCAAAGGACTCTTGGCCATTTGCTATTGTGTCGTTGGCCACTTACTATTGCTTTTCTGTCTTTTACATATTGATTGGTATATGTTCTTTGTATATGCTGAATATGGGCCTTTTATTTATTAAATATGTTGTTAATATATTCTCCTTTGTGGCATGTATTTATTTTCTTCCAACTTTTATTTTAGGTTCAGGGGTACAGGTGTGAGTTTGTCACATTAGTAAATTGTATGTTGCAGGGATTTGGTATACACATTATTTTGTCACCCAGGTAATGAGCATAGTACCCGATAGGT
This sequence comes from Homo sapiens, assembly GCF_000001405.40. NCBI lineage: Eukaryota > Metazoa > Chordata > Mammalia > Primates > Hominidae > Homo > Homo sapiens. The sequence goes on from NW_012132921.1 coordinate 125,299, forward strand.
AATTTTTAAATCCTCAGCCTCTTACCACACTCCACTGTCAAGTAGGCCTTGATGTCCATTGTTCCCTTCTTAGTGTTCATGTGTTTTCAATGTTTAGCTCTCACTTATAAGTGAGAACATGCAGTATTTGATTTTCTGTCCCCGTGTTAATTCACTTGGGATAATGGCCCCCAGCTGCATCTATGTTGCTTCAATGACATGATTTCCTTATTTTTTATAGCTGTGTAGTATTTCATGCTGTGCATGTACCACATTTTCTTTATTTAGTCCACCATTAATGGGCATCTAGGTTGATTCCATGCCTTTCCTATTGTGAATAGTGCTGTGACGAACATACACATGCATGTGTCTTTATGGTAGAATGATTTGTATTCCTTTGGGTACATACCCAGTAATGAGGTTGCTGAATCAAGCAATAGATCTGTGGCATACATTTTTGTTCTCCTAATAATCTCTCCTGATGAGAATACTTTATTTTAATATAGTATAATTATTGATACTTTTATTTATTTACAATTACTGTATAAGAAAACTTTGCCTGGCCGGGCACAGTGGCTCGCGCCTGTAATCCCCAGCACTTTGGGAGGCTGAGGCAGGTCGATCACCTGAGGTCAGAAGTTCGAGACTAGGCTGGTCAACATGGTGAAACCCTGTCTCTACTAAAAATATAAAAATTAGCCGGGCGTGGTGGCATACGCTTGTAATCCCAGCTACTCGGGAGGCTGAGGAAGGAGAACCACTTGAACCCAGGAGGTGGATGTTGCAGTGAGTCGAGATCATGCCATTGCACTTCAGCCTGGGTGACAAGAGCAAAACTCTCTCTCTAAAAGAAAAAAAAAGAAAACTTTGCCTTTACAATTACTTTATAAGAAAACTTATTATAAGAAAACTTTACATTTAGTTTGATAAACTTCCCTCTTTACACTGCTTTAGCTGTAACCCAGAGATTCTGGTATGTTGTATCTTTGTTCTTATTAGTTTTAAATAATTTCTTGATTTCTGCCTTATTGTCATTGTTTACCCAAAAGTTACTTAGGAGCAGATTGTGTAATTTCCATGTAATGTTATGGTTTTGAGTGATTTTCTTAGTATCGATTTATGTTATTGCACGGTGGCCCAAGAGTGTGTCTGGCATGATTTCAGTATTTTTAACTTGCTGAGGGTTGTTTTATGGCCGATTGTGTGGTCGATTTTAGAGTATGAGCCATGTGCAGATGAGAATGTATATTCTATTATTTTTGGATGGAGCGTTCTATAGATGTCTATTTGGTCCATTTGGTCAAGTGTTGAGTTAGGCCTATTTTAATGTCATGAAGATAATCTCCCATGTTAAGTTCTAGAAGTTTTATTTATCATTTACATGTTTATTCTTTCACATTTTATTTTTATTCTTTGAATGATGTGAGGTTGGTTGTCAAGTTTAGTTGCCCATACAAATTGGGGGAGGGGAGGCGAGGTCCACCTGCATGTGTGTGTGCTGGCAAAGGGGTTCTGGGGAGGCTGTGGTGGGAGGAGGGTGCAGGTGAGCTGGGACACATCTCTGAGGGCTGGTCTGTTGGAGCTCTCTGACGGCCAGGTGCAGTCTGCAGGCCAAGGAGCTATGATGAGGGCTCTGGGAAGCACCTTGCTTGGGCATCCAATGCAGGCTGGGGCCCCAGGAGACGCCAGCAAACAGGGGGTCACTCAGATTGGATAGCTCTGTCTGATGGGCAAGGCTGTTTTGCTCTGTCTAGGTCCAGCAGTTCTTCTATAGCCAAAGCCTCCTAGGGGAACATGGTGAGCCTTGGGGGATGGGCGTTCCTGGCTGTGGTCCACTGCAGAAGTTCCTGTACCAAAGCATCTGGGCTCCGCACAGGCTGGAATCCTGCTCCTTTCACCTCTCTAAGCAGCTCTCCCAGCCAACTCCAGCGTCTGTGGAAATCATAGGTTTTCCTGCTGCCTGGATTCCAAAGGTCTGTGGCAGGAGTGGGCTGCTCCTTACCTATTCAACTCATCCCTTTCCCAGGAGTTGCTGGGGGCCAGAAATGAGTCCTGGTGCTCAGTAATCCCGCTCAGTGTTCCCAACTTCCTCTTCCTTCAGCCCAGAGTCTGCATCCTCCCTCCATCCACTCTCAGTGCCTTCCCTCTGAAGTCTGCTTAGAGTGTGCCAGTCTTCCCAACAGCTCCTGGTGGCAGATGTTCGTTCTGGCTGCATCTAGTTGGCTATCTTCGCTATCACTCCCCAACTTTGTGTGGCTTTTAAAGATTGTCTTGGCTCTTCTTAGCCACTCTCATCTTTATATAAATTTCAGGAAACGCTTCTGTCAAGTTTGAAAAACAAATATTATGGATTTTCATTGGGAATACAGAAAACCTATAGATCCATTTAAGAAAAAATAAATCGTTACAATATCAAATCCTTTTATCCAGGGACAAACCAAACCCTTCATTATCTTTGATCTTTTAAATTTTATTTTGATAATTTTGTACAATTATGAGATTTATATCTAGATATTTGATGTTTTTGATGCTATTGCAAATTGTTTTGTTAGGAATATTTTTCTTACTGTTGCCTCTAAATGAAAATATAATTGATTTTATAGTGACTAAGCAAGATTTCTAAAATCATTTATTAAGTCTGAAATATTGTCTTTTGATTTGATATGTATGTTTTATATACATGTTACCTTAAAGGAAAGTTTTATTTCTTCCTTGAAATTATGATAATCTTAATTCTTTTTCTTGCCTTATTTCTCTTGCTTAAGACTTGCATCCTAAGGAAAATGTTGAACAGAAATGGAGTGTGGACCTTTTAATGCCCCTTTCTAATGTCATGAACAAGTATTTTCATATTTCACTACTTAATATATTTTTATATAAAGATTGTGTGTGTGTGTTTAGACAGCTTAAGAAAACCTTAGTATCATAAGAGATTTCATCATGAAAGCATTATAGCATGTTGTATATTATCATATGCTTTCTTCAAAACGCAAGGTGATCATATATTTTTATCCTTTATTCTGATAATGTGATGAATAACACTGATGTATTTTTAGATGCTAAAATCAATGTTGGAGTCCTGGAATTAATCAAACTTGTGTCTATTTCTGCACTATTTTGCCAATATTTTGTATAGGATTTTGTATGTAAATTCATGTTTTTGCCAGATTTTAATATGATAGTTATGCTGGTCTCATAAATTGAATTGGAAATTTCCACCACTTTTTCTTTTCTCTGGAATAGGTTTAGTAATATTGATGTTAAATCTTTCTTAAATATTTCAAATGATTCAGTTATGAAAATAACTCACCCTGGAGTTTTTCCTATTTAAAGATTTCTATTAGACATGTAATTTTTAATAGCCATAAGAAAGTTCATATTGTTTATTTATTCTTATGTAACTTTTGGTAAGTTTTGTTTCACTAGCAACCTCTTCATTTAATCTAAATTTACATATTTTAAAAATATTTTTATTTTTAGTAACCATCCCCACTCTCTCCCACTCACCAGCTACCCTTCCCAGCCTCTAGCAAACTATCATAATATTCTCTATCTTCATGAGTTCAATTGTTTTAATTTTTAGATCCTACAAATAAGTGAGAGCACGTGAAGTTTGTGTTTCTGCACCTGGCTTATTTTACTTAACTTTGTGAACTCTAGTTTCATTCATGTTGTTGCAAACAACAGAATATCATTCTTTTTTATGGCTGAATACTGCACTGTTGTGTATATATACCACTTTTTCTTTATCCATTATTTTGTTGATGGATACTTAGGCTGTTTCCTAATACTGGCTATTGTGAACAGTGTTGCAATAAACAGGGGAGTACAGATATCTCTTTGATATACTGATTTCCTTTCCTTATGGGTGTATACCTGGAAGTGGGATTGTTGGATCATATAGTAGCTATATTTTTAGTTTTTTGAGGAACCTCCAAATTTTTCTCCATAGCGATTGTGCTAATTTACACTACCATCAACAGTGTACAAGGGTTTCCTTATCTGAATATTCTTACCAGCATTTGTTATTGCTTGACTTTTGGATAAAAGTCATTTTAACAGGTGTGACGTGATATCTAATTGTAGTTTTGATTTGCATTTCTCTGATGATCACTGATGTTAAGCACCTTTTCATATACCTGTCTGTCATTTATATGTCTTCTTTTGAGAAATATCTATTCAGAACTTTTGCCTATTTTTAAATGAGATTATTAGATTTTTTCCTATTGAATTGTTTGAGTTACTTATATATTCTGGTTATTAATCCTTTGTCAGATGGGTAGTTTGCAAGCATTTTCTCCTATTTTGTCCATTGTCTCTTCACTTTGTTGATTGTTTCCTTTGCTTACAGAAGTCTTTTAACTTGATATTATCCCATTTATCCATTTTTGCTTTGGTTGCCTGTGCTTGTGGGATATTACTTAATAAATCTTTGTCTAGTCCAATGTCCTGAAGAGTTTTCCAAATGTTTTCTTTTAGTGGTTTCATAGTTTTAAGTCTTAGATTTAAGTATTTAATCCATTTCTATTTCATTTTTTTATATAGCAGGAGATAGGGGTCTAGTTTAATTCTTCTGCATATGGATATCAAGTTTTCCTGGAATTATTTATTGAAGAGACTGTCATTTCCCGAGTATATATCTTGGCACCTTTGTTGAAAATGAGTTCTCTGAAGGTGTATAGATTTGTTTCTTGATTCTCTAGTCTGTTCCACTGGCCTATGTGTCTGTTTTTATGCCAGTACCATGCTGTTTTGGTTACTATAGCTCTGTAGTATAATTTGAAGTCAGATAATGTGATTCCTCTAGTTTTGTTCTCTTTTCTCAGGATAGCTTGGGCTATTCTGGATCTTTTGTGTTCCATATAAATTTTAGGATTGTTTTTTCTATTTCTGTGAAGAATGCCATTGGTATTTTGATAGGAATTACATTGGATGCGTAGGTTGCTTTGGATAGTATGGTCATTTTAACAATATTGATTCTTTCAATACATGAACATAAAATATCTTTCAATTTTTTGGTGTCCTCTTCAATTTCCTCCATCAGTATTTTATAGTATTCATTATAGAAATGCTTCATTTCTTTGGTTAATTCCTAGGTATTTAATTTCATGTGTGGCTATTGTAAATGGCATTATGTTTTGGTTTCTTTTTCAGGTTGTTTACCTGGCATGTAGAATGATTTTTGCATGCTGATTTTGTATCCTTCTGCTTTACTGAATTTGTTTATCAGTTTTAATAGTTCCTTAGTGGAGTCTTTAGTTTTTTCTAACTATAAGATCATATTATCTGTGAGCAAGGATAATTTCACTTCCTCCTTTGCAATTTGGATGCCCTTTATTTCTTCCTCTTGGCTGATTGCTCTATATAGGACTTTCGGTACTATGTTGAGTAACAGTGGTGATAGTGGGCATCCTTGTCATGTTTCAGACCTTAGATGAGAGGCTTTCAATTTTTCCCCCATTCAGTATGATACCAGCTCTGGATCTGTCATATATAACTTTTATTATGTTGAGGTACGTTGCTTCTATACCCCATTTTTTGAGTGTTTTAATCATTAAGGGATGTTGAATTTTATCCTTGAGAATGATCCATGTGTTGAGGAAAATAATGTGTGTTCTGTAGCCATTGGATGAAATGTTCTGTAAATATCTATTAGGCCCATTGGTCTATAGTGCAGATTAAGTCTGAAGTTTCTTTGTTGATTTTCTGTCTGCAAGATCTGTTCAATGCTGAAAGAGGGGTTTTGAATTCTTCAGGTATTATTGTATTGGGGGGTCTACCTCTCTTTTTAGCTCTGATAATATGTGCTTTAGATATTTGTGTGCTCCAGTGTTAGGTGCATATATCTTTACAATTATTATATCCCGTTGCTGAATTTACCCCTTTATCATTATATAATGACCTTTTTGTCTCTTTCCATAGTTTTTGTCTTGAAATCTATTTTGTCTGACGTAAATATAGCTACACCTGCTCTTTTTTGGTTTCCATAAACATGGAATATCTTTTTTCATCCTTTTATTTTCAATCTGTTTGTGTCTTTATAAGTGAAGTGCGTTTCTTTTAGGCTACAGGTCATTGGGTCTTTTAAAAAAATCGAGTCACTCTATGTATTTTGACTGGAGAGTTTAGTCAATTTACTTTCACTATTATTGATAGTAAAGACTTACTCCTGCCATTTTGTTATTCATTTTCTGATTGTTTTGTGATCTTCTCTTTCTTTTTTCCTATCTTCCTTTTAGGAAAGGTGATTTTCTCTGGAGGTATGTTTTAATTTCTTGCTTTTTATTTTTTCTGTATTTATTGTATGTTTTTAGTTTTGAAATTACCACGAGGCTTGTAAATAATATCTTATAACCCATTATTTTAACTGATGACAAGACTGATTGTATAAAGAAACAAACTAACCAACAAACAAGGAAAGAGAAAATGAATAAAAACTCTACACTTTCACTTTGTCCCCCCACTTTTTAACTTTTTGTTTCTATTTGTATCTTATTGTACTGTCTATATTGTAGTTATTATTTCTGATCTGTTCATCTTTTAGTCTTTCTATTCAAGAGTAGTTTACACACCACAATTATAGTTTTATAATAGTCTGTGTTTTTCTGTGTGCTTATTATTACTAGTGAGTTTCACACCTTCAGTGATTTCTTATCACTCATTAATATCCCTTTCTTTAAGATTGAAGAACATACTTTTGCATCTCTTGTAGGACATGTCTGGTATTGATGAAATCCCTCATCTTTGGTTTGTCTGGGGAAGTCTTTATGTATCCTTCATGTATAAAGGATATTTCTGCTGAACATGCTATTCTAGGGTAAAAGTTTTTCCCTCAGCACTTCGAGTATGTCATGCCAGTCTCTCCTGGCCTCTAAGGTTTCTACTATGAAGTATGCTGCGAAACATATTCGAGCTCTATTGTATGTTATTTGTTTCAATTCATTCGCTTCTTTTAAGATCCTTTCTTTATCCTTAATATTGGGAGTTTGATTATTTAATGTTTTGAAGTAGTCTGCTTTGGGTTAAATCTGCTTGGTTTTCTATAACCTTCTTGTAGTTGAATATTGATTTGTTTCTCTAGGTTTGGGAAGTTCTTTGTTATTATCCTTTTGATCAAAGTTTCTATCCTTACCTCTCTCTCTGCCCCCCGCCTTAAGGCCAATAACTCTTAGATTTGCCCTTTTGAAGCTATTTCTAAGTCTTGTAGGTGTGCCTCATTTGTTTTTATTTTTTTTCTTTTATCTTCTCTGACTGTGTATTTTCAAACTACCTATTTTCCAGCTCACTAATTCTTTTTTCTGTTTGATAAATTCTGCTATTAAGAAACTCTGATGCATTATTCAATATGCCAATTGCATTTTTCAACTCTAGAATTTCTGCTTGATTCTTTTTAATTATTTCAATCTGTTTGTTAAATGTTAAATTTATCTGACAGGATTCTGGATTCTGAATTTCTTCTCTGTGTTATCTTAAATTTCTTTGAGTTTCCTCAACACAGCTATTTTGAATTTTCTGTCTGAAGGTCACATATCTCTGTTTCTCTGGGATTGGTCGCTGGTGCCTTATTTAGTTCATCTGGAGAGGTCATGTTTTCTGGGTGGTTTTCATGCTTATGGATGTTCATTGGTGTCTGGGCATTGGAGAGTTAGGTATTTATTGTAGTATTTGCAGTCTGGTCTTGTTTGTACCTGTCCATTTTGGAAAGGCTTTCAAGGTACAAACAAACAAAGTGACTTTGGTGTTTTGATCTAAGCTTTTGGTCACTGCAACCATATCTGCATTGGGGGGCCTCCCAAGCCCAGTAACGCTATGGCTCTTGCAGACTCATAGAGGTATCACCTTGGTTGTCTTGGACAAGATCCAGAAGAATTCTCTGGATTACGAGGCAGAGACTCTGGTCCTCTTCCCTTACTTTCTCCCCGCAAAATGGAGTCTCTCTGTCTCTCTCTCTCTCTCTCCTGTTGAACTGCCTGGAACTGGGGGAGGAGCAACACAAGCACCCCTGTGGCCACCAAAACTGGGACCATGCTCGGTCAGACCTGAAACCAGCATGGTACTGGGGTTGAGAGAGAAGTGGCACAAGCACTCTGTTTGCTACTTTGTTACTCCGGCTGGTGTCTCACTAGGTCATGCATCCCCCAAGTCTACTGGCTCCACATGCAGCACAGCACCAGGGCTTCCTCTGGAATTGCAGTCCTTGTGGCCTAGACTGCCTTAAAAGCTTATTTAGGAACCTGGGCACTTTAACCCATTGTGGTGAGGCTTGCCAGAACTTAGGTTCTGACTGCTGGGATAGATGAGTCCTTTCTGGCTGGGGCTGGTCTAAATGCTCCCTTTGTGAAGGTTTACTGAGTTCTGCCTAATGTGGCTTTCTGCTGTGACAGGGCAGCACTGAGTTCCAATACAAAGTCCCATGATCACTGTACTCTTTCCCCCAAAAACACATATTCCATCTCCACACCATGTGGCTGCTGCCAGGAGATAATGGAAGGTAACATAAAGACTGTTTTTCTTACCCTCTTCACTGCCTTTTTCTGTGATATGAAGTTAAAACTAGGTACTATGACCACTCACCTGATGTTTTTGTTCTTACGAAGGTACATTTTGTGTGTGTGTGTGTGTAGATAGTTATTAAATTTGGGGCTCCTGTGGTGGGGGGGTGATCTATGGGAGCTTGTATTCAGCCATCTTCCTCCACCTCCCAAGTCTTCATATGTATTGATAGAAAGCTGTTCTCTTTTTTTTTTTTTAAACATCTTGTGCATTTTTAAATTCTCGATGTTATTTGTTTGGATTTTATCTCTCTCTCTCTCTCTCCCTGTCTCTCAAAGGCCTTCCCATGGAGTTAACAGTTTTATTAGTCTTTTCAATATCCATAGTTTTAAATGTTTTTCTAATGTGTGCTTTTTTGGTATTTCATTAATTAATTTCTGATCTTAATTTTATTATTTTCTTTCTTTTACTTTCATTGGGTGACTTACTGAGATGGATACATAGACCATGAAGAATGAGCATATATTTGTTTGTTAAATATGCCTTGAGGGCTATATATTTCTATCCTAGAATATCTTTAAATGTTTCCTGAAAGATTCAATATGATTTATGTTTATTATCTTTCTATGCAATTAATTTTTAAGAAACTTTTATTACAACCACACTAATTTTGACTCAAATGTTGGAGTTTTTTTACTTAAAATAGTTTTTTTTTTTTTTTAACAATTTCACTTGGTCAGAGAATACACAAGCAATTGCTTTGATCCTTGGAGATTTGTCTAGACTTGCTTTATGGCACAGTATATTATCAATTTTGAAAAATGCTTCATGTCATCCTGTGAGAAACGTGTGTTCTCTAGTTGTTAAGGACATTGTTAGACATGTCGATGGGTAAGAATTTTTAAATTTTTTCCTTCAAAACTTCTCTGTCCTTACAGATATTGTTTCCTGCTTGTTTTATTAGTTACCTAGAGCAATGTGTTAAAATCTGCTATTTTGCTTATGAATTTCATATACCGTTTTATGAGGTACATATATCTTTCTGATAGATAAATTATTTAATCACAGTGGAATATCCTATTTTTTTCTTATAGTAATCTTCTTGACTTGAAGTTTACTTTTTCTTCCATTTCTGTAACTATATATATATGGTTTGGGTTAGTGTTTGTATTATATGGCATTTTATTCTTTTACTGTGAAATCCTCTTTATCCTTATATTTAAGGTACGTATATCTTATCATTGAACTTTGTTTTATTTTAGCCTATCTCATAAACTTTCTTTTAGGTGGCATTTTATACATTTATATTCAATTGAATTATTGTTATATTTCATATTGTATCTAATCTTACAATTTTTTTGAACATGTAGTACTTTTAGCACTTAAAATGGTTTTGTCTGCTGTGGACAAATTTGCTATTTATCTGAAACTTCATTTTGCTTTGGTTTTGAAGGATGTTTTCTTTTAGGTTGAAATAATTTCCTTCAGCACTTTGATGATGCCATTTTATTGATTTTTGGCTTCCATAGTTTCTCTTCAAGTGTTAACTATTGACTTTATTGTTGTTCCTTTGAGGGTAGAGTGTCTTTTTTTCACTAGCTGATTTTAAAATTTACACCTTTATGGGTGGGTGTTGCATTTCCCAGTTTCCTGAAAATTGGAAAACTCTGCTAGTCTTCTCAAATTCTGTAGCTGGTGTTGTCAGGGGTTTATCTAAAACTCTCAAACCTTGCTTTAATAATGGACTGAATCTACAGATATGTGTCTAATGGATTTTTCTGGAAGGCTGCTCTACCTGTTTATATGGTAGTGCTAAAAATGCTCAGGAATTAAAAATCTCCTCCAATATTTCTTGACTAATGAGTGGTTGTTACAGGTGTAAGTAGTCTTCTCATATATGTGGTTTCACTCTCTGGGGTTCCAGTTACCTGCAGTCGACAGTAGTCCAAAAATATTAAATAAAGAATTCCAGAAAGAAACAATTCATAAGTTTTATTTCCATTAAAATTTTGTGTATTTCCATAGCTTTTGGCGTACAAGTGATTTTTGGTGACATGGATGAAATGCATTGTGGTAAAGCCTGAGATTTTTACTGTATCATCACCCCACTTGTGTACATTGTATCTAATATGTAGATTTTATCCTTTATCTCCCAATGCTCCCCTTTCTGCATCTCCATAGTACTTTATACCACTCTATATGCCTTTGCATACCTGTAGCTTAGCTCCCACTTATAAGTGAGAACATATGGAATTTAGTTTTCCATTCCTGAGTTATTTCACTTAGAATAGTTGGCCTCCAGCTCCATCCAAGATGCTGCAAAAGACATTTTTTCATTCTTATGACTGAGTAGTATTCCATGGTTTGTGTGTGTGTGTGTGTGTGTGTGTGTGTGTGTGTGTATATATCTCACATTTTCTTTATCCAGCCATTGGTTGATAACCACTTAGGTTGGTTCCGTATCTTTGCATTTGTAAATTGTGCTGCAAAAAACATACATGTGCAGGTGTCTTTTAGATAGAATGACTTATTTTCATTTGCATAGATACCCAGTAGTGGGATTGCTAGATGGAATGGTAGATCTACCTTTAGTTCTTTAAGTAATCTCCATACTGTTTTCCATAGAAGTTGTATTAATTTACTTTCCCCCCAGCAGTATACAAGCATTTTCTTTTCAGCATATCCATGCCAACATCTCTTTTTTGACTTTTAAATCATGGCCGTTCTTGCAAGAGTGAGGTGGTATTTTATTGTGGTTTTAATTTGCATTTCCCTGATGATTAGTGATGTTGAGCATTTTTTAATGTATTTTTTGTCATTAGTGTATCTTCTTTTGAGAAATGTCTATTTATGTCATTTGTCCACTTTTTGATGGGATTAAGTTTTTCTTGCTGATTTGTTTGAGTTCCTTGTAGATTCTAGATATTAGTCCTTTGTCAGAAGCATAGTTTGGAAATATTTTCTCCCATTCTGTGGGTCAGGTGATCAATGGAGTCCTGTCCCAGGTCTGTCTCACAATGAATCTGATGTTTTCATCCATGCACCCAGGGAAATCCTCTGGTTACCCATCACACAATCAAGATATATATATTTATCATTTGGGGGAAGTCTGACATTGCTTACCTGACTTATGGAGTTGTCCCATTCTCTGATGATTATTTCTTTTGCTGTGGAGAAGCTTTTTAGTTTCATTAGGTCCCATTTATTTATTTTTGTTTTGCTGCATTTGCTTTTGGGGTCTTAGTCATGGATAAGCAATTTATGAGCTTTAAATTGCACACCGTTCTGAGTACCATGATGAAATCTTGCATTGTTCTGCTCTGGCCTGTCCAGGATGTGAATCATCCCTTTGTTCAGTGTATCTATGCTGTAGACACTACCTGACTGTTAGTCGCTGAGGAGCCATCTTGGCTGTCAGATCCAGTGTCACAGTATTGCAGTGCTTGTGTTCAAGTAACCCTTATTTTACTTCCTAATGACCTCAAAGCACAAGAGTAGCGATGCTGGCATATTGTTAAAATTGTTTTATTTTATTAAGTACTGTTTTTAACGTCTTACTGTGCCTAATTTATAAATTAAACTTTATCATAGGTATGTATGTATAGGAAAAACATCATATATATAGGATTGAGTATTATCTACAGTTTCAAGCATCCACTGGGGATCTTGGAAACTATCCCTCATGGATAAGGGGTCAATATTGTATAAATACAACAGTTCCCCTACCCTTGAGCAGAATAAGCTTGGATGTGTGTTTTACTTTTTTCTTTTTTTCTCCCTGAAATTCCCCCATGGGATTAGCTAGCTTCATAATGTATCTTCTGTTCTCTGCATTACTTCGTGCATGTTAGTGTTCCTTTATCTTCCCCCAAAACCCCACTGTGCCCAAATCCTCATCTCAGGGTCTGAGTCTACTTTAATCCCAGGAGACTAAAAAGTTATCTTGCCAGCAAAGGGAATTATGGAGGTCAGGTGATCAGTGGAGTCCTGTCCCAAGTCTGTCTCACAATGAATCTGATGTTTTCATCCGTGCACCCAGGGAAATCCTCTGGTCACTCATTACAAAATCAAGATATGTATATTTATCATTTGGCAGAAGTCTCACATTGCTTAGCTGACTTACGGAGAAAGAACCAAAATGCTAAGAAAAGACCAGTGGAAGCCCCTGAAATTCCTCCCTTGTCAAGATACTAAATGAGAAGCCATAATGCATCTGAGGGAAGTGGCAGATTTAGTGCCACCCCATAGACTGAAAGAATGCAGGTTTGGTGCTCTCTATCATATCCCCATTCAGTTAACTAGTTTGGATCTTAAAAATACCAGATACATCATGGAAGATTATAAGGAACTACCATAAATTTAACCAAGCAACAGTACCAAACATTATTGCATCTGTGCAATTGTCAACACAACAATAAAGGCAAATAGTATCTTAACATTATTATGAAAATAGTGGTGACCCCACAGACCCCCCAAAAGTGCCATGGTGACCCTTAGAGTCTAGGACCAAGGGTGGGAGTGGGGGCATTGCCTTTCACTGTTATTCCCAGTGACTCAGTTGAGGAACTTGTGCTTCAGTTCCTAGGAGAGAGATGGTCCTGTCAGGCTACACAGTAAGAACTCCACAAAAGCTAAAATTACAGCTTTCTCCCAGTCATTCTGGTTTCTCACAGAGGAGTACAAAGACACTGAAAGTTACTACCCTGTCAGTGGAAATTAATCATTATTATCATGAAGATATACAGTTGCTGCTACATAATGAAGGCAGGGAGGTTCATTGTGTTTCCGTATCTAGTGATTAAGCAGAATTGCGTAGTAGCAGAAAGCACGGCCTTACAAGAGCATGGTAACCAGGGGCTCAGAGCCCTCAAGGATAAAGATCTGATTTACCCCAGATCATCAAAAGAGTGGCTAATTATAAGGAGTGTCTTGATTGAATAGTAGAAGGGATATTATTTCCAACTTTTGGATGAAACTGCAATGTGGAGTGTCCTTCACTAAAACTCCTATATTTATATTGATTTAAAAAAAATTTTAACCTTAAAGAAAAGATGACAGGATGGAGCAGACTTAACTTGGGAAGTGAGTTGTTTTGGGCATTACAAAGGGTTAACTGTAGTGGACACTGTCAGTACTCTCAGGCACCCCAGACCTTACCATATAGCGGTGTTCCAGATACTCAGCACCTTCCAGTATCTGTATCTTCATGCTTGATTCAGTCTGGAAGACTACTCTGCCTGTATCCATAGAAGACTGGAAGTGCTTTGGAATTAGCTAACACCCCAAGGAATATTCCTTGATCAATGCTTAACAGGAAAGCGTATACAACTACTTCACTACCCTTAACCCTTGGATGGGATATGTCTGAAGTATGTGCTTTATACCATTTTCCAGACTTACTCCAGGGTTAAACTGTATCTGTCCTCTGTATTTTGCTTAATAGAGTACTCCTTATTACTGCTTTCCAACCCTATATCCGTTTCCACTTCTCTCTTGTCTCGATATTCCTTGCATCTCCCAAATGAATTACTTGCACTATGTTCTTTCTCCCAGGGTCTGCTTCCAGAGAAACCCACACTAAGACAAATTAGTAGCTACTACTTTCTGCTAGGTTTTTTACCTCTTGGTCACTGCTTGGGAATTGGAAAATGCCTTGGGGTAAAAGTACTTCTAAATATCAGGTTCAATTCTCTGCTCTTCTTTTCTCCTTGGATTCTTGACCCTTCAAGTCCTTACTGATTTGATAGCTCTCTGATGCCTTCAATAAACTTTAAAAAATGTATCTAGCTATTTCAGTTGTCCTCAGCGGGAGAGTTGGTCCAACATAACTGATAGCAAAAATCAATTTCTTTCAGAAATCCATACGTGAATTGAAGAAAGTTTAATGAGAACTAAGAGCAGTTACTGCCTTATTCCATGACATTTAAAAAACTCCAAAAACATTTTAAAAATGTAATATCCAATTTTATAGAAGTGAAAAATAAAATAACCAAGCCAAGCTCAAGACATTCTTACATTATAACTCTTTCAATCACTTTTGATTCCTTGTTTCCTGCCAATCTCTACATGCATTGGGTAGTTTCTTTGTCCTTATTTTATGAGAAGAAAATAGACATTTAGATTTGCTGTTGTTTTCATCACACATTCTGGGATTAATTATGTGGCTTTCAAGGATCGTTCATTCATTCCTTCGAGGGTAAGGGAGCAAGTATGAAACATTCATATTTCTCTCCATTTTCTACCCGTAAATACAGTTCAAGAGGGGCACAAAATGGTATTTTACATGGAAACAGAGGCGTTAAGAGAATAAAAAAGAGCTTGTTTGAAGAGTTTACCATTAAGACTCATTCTATAGATTAATAGAGCCATCACCAGTCTCCAGGGTTATCAAGTCAACAATTTCATGAAAGTTAAATTTACATAAGAATGTGGGGAAAACGAATAACATTTCAATCTTTGTTGGTAGCAGGTCAAAAAGCCACATCCCTATTGAATTTGGAGCTCTGTTTTAGAGTGACTTTTACTGTGACCTCTTTTCCAGCTTTCAGTTTGTTGACTTGCTTAAGGCTTCTCCATGAACCAATTGGTTTCTGTGTAGTTTCAGTTCCATGTTTTAAGGAAGCTGTGCCTATGAGCTGAGTTGTAGATCTCATATACTACGTGCTTGTCATTTAGTGAAGGCTGTGAAGTTTGAGTGTTTCCTGAAGAGTGATAAATCCTACCTAACGAATTGTCTTCGTATTAAGAAGTAGGGCACAGTGTTGATATAATCTCACTTGCTGGTGTAAGAAATGCCTCTTAACAATTGCTTGCATGTTAGAGAAAAATAAAAGGGAAGACAACTAATATGTTATTTATCACAAGTTCAAGTAACAATCTGAATATTTATCCCATACTACCAAAAAATTATTTTAAAAATATCATGCACAAATTTTGTCATCGTGCCAATTAGCTATAGGAAGTTTTTTCCTTTTCTGCCTGAGAGAGCATGAACTTTGCTGATATAATTTTCATTTCCTCTCCTATGAGGTGCCACTCTAGGGTAAAAGAGTATGAAAATATTCTTACTTCTCTGAAGTGGAGCATCTAAAATGCTCTAAGATTAATATCTAACGTGTAAAAGCAAGGCAAAGGAGGGCTAGCCTGTTGTCTTAAAAAATTCTATGCTCCCCTTTCATGTATTTTTGTAAACATCCTACCTAATCCCTGTATTAGTACTGTTGATCCAAACTTTAATTCCTTGAGAAAAGAAAAGATGTATGGCAATTTTGATTATAGTTCTTGGCCACCACTGAATTGTGTTTGCTTGATCGGCACACACAGCTTGAAACAACTTGAACTCTGTAGCAGAATCCAAACCAAATACTTTTAAACATGGCAAAGATCTTTCCTAAATTTTTTCTTGGTGGTGGGCTGGCCACCACCAAGAAAATTCAATTGCAGCTAGCAGAGCCACCCAAAGAACTGCATTCACAACACCACAGATTGTGGCAACATTTGAAATTACAAAATTCGGAATAGCTTTCATGCAGTTAATTAGAAATAAATACGGATGTTAGGATGAGACACTACACGGTGGAACTCATTGGTGACATTTTTATTTGAGGGTTTTATTTTTGATGGAGAATTCTGGGTCTGGGGGCAACATCATCTGTTAAGGATTCACAGTCTAGTTGGGGGAAAACTTGAAGGAATGTATAATACACCAGAGTCAACCTGCTTATAGGAAAAACAGGAATTTGTGGTGTTATGAGTTCATGACCTGGTCAGAATAGGTTTAAAAAAATTTCCCCATATGGGCGGGCACAGTGGCTCACGCCTGTAATCCCAGCACTTTGGGAGGCCGAGGTGGGCGGATCACCTGAGGTCAGGAGTTCGAGACCAGCCTGGCCAACATGGAGAAACCCCATCTCTACTAAAAATATAAGATTAGCCAGGCATGGTGGCGCATGCCTGTAATCCCAGCTACTTGGGAGGCTGAGGCAGAAGAATCGCTTGAACCCAGGAGGCGGAAGTTGTGGTGAGCCGAGATCACACCATTGCACTCCAGTCTGGGCAACAAGAGCGAAACTCCATCTCAAAACAAAGCAAAAACAAAAACAAACAAACAAAAAACCCGAATAGAAAATCAACATGCACTATCCTGAGATCAAGATGAATTTTTGTTATTTTTATGCAATGTGGATCTGGAAACAAGGGTCAATGTAACATATATTATTCAAATCCCAAATAAATATTAGGGGATAATTTTTTCTCCCCTAACGTTCATTAAATACTTACAGTGTACTCTAAAAATATTATTGTCTTTGGATTTCATGATCCCTTGGGGTGCAGCTGTTAATATTCTTATATTACAAAGAAGGAAATGGAAGCTGTGACAGTCTAAGGTCACTCAGCCAGCGTGTGACAAGTGTAGACAGCTTCTACACCTTGAACCCCCTTACTATCTTATGATCAAGAGGGTTTGGAACTTGTGTGAGGATTTTCTTTTAAGTTTATATATTATACTTTATGCTGAGTTATCATCAAGAAACATACCATCATTTGCCTCAAACACCCATCAAAAGGTTTAATTGCATTTTTGGTAGAGGTCATCCCATGCATTAATATTGCCCTTGTATTTGGTTCCTGCCTGATTCTTATATGTTCAAGGGAAAATGAAATAAGGAAATGAGAAATTTGCTTTGTAAAAGTGACTAAGTGCTTTAGAGCATTTGTGGGATCAGGTGTGTATATTTTAAAACTCTAATCTAGAGTTAGCCACCTATTTTTTTTTTTCCCTTAGGACAACAGGCAGACGTCAGAAAGATGTGGGATTTTTCTGAGTTTTCCTGATTGGCCTAAAGCAATGAAGAGGAGAGGAGACAAAGACACAGGAACAAAAGAAAGGGAAGGAGGGGAGAAGTGGTATGACAAGGAGAGAGATTGGAAAGAAAGAAGGATGGGCAAAAAGGTGCATATGGAGAGGAATGGTTCTGAGACCCCAGAGTGTCTGTTGAATCTCTGGCAGGCGCCTGTCTGTCAATAACCCCCTTTTGCTCTGGTGAGGAGGGAGATAATTCATTGCCAGCTCCTTTTCTTCTACTTCCACATTGCTCTCTGGGGTTGGGAGAGGTGAGCAATTTGTTGCAAATGTATGATGAATTTCATTAAGAATTCACAACTGCTGTTAACATCACTGGAGATCTGAAAAATAGAAACCCAACATGCTCAGAACAGGTTTGACACACAGAGCAAAGATGTGAAATTTGCCAGAAATTAAAAGCTGTGCTGGTAAATTCAGGTCCTTTATGATTAATTTTTTTTTTCTGTGCAGAACATGATTTTATTGAAATAATGACAGTTACATGTTTTATTAATGTGCTTTTTTAGACAGGCTTCATAACATGATCTCATCATAAAGTCCTGGAAGGTAATGGATTTGTCATTCAATGAGTTAATGCAGTAGAAAGTACTTTGTAGCTTAGAAAGTGCCAAATAAATATTAGCTCTTGCAATCATGTTCCACATGGCAGTTTGATGTATAGATTTTTTTATTTTAAATAAACTTTATTTTAGAACAGTTTAAAGTTTACAGAAAAACTGTGAAACAGTACAGAGAGTTTCTACATACGACATACCTAGTTTCCCCTATTATTAACACCTTACATTGGTGTGGTACAATTATTATAAGTAATAAACCAAGATTTGTATGTTATTTAAAGTCCACATTTCATTCAGATTTCCTTAGTCTTTATTGAATGTCCTTCGTCCGCTCCAGGATATGATCCAGGACACCACATTACATTGATTTCTCCTGTTTCCTTCAGATCCTCTTGGCTGTGACAGTTGCGGAGACTTTCCTTGTTTTTGAAGAACTTGATCGTCCTGAGGACACTGATCAGATATTCTGTAGAATGTCCCTCATTTGTGATTGCTCTGGTATTTTCTTATGGTTAGACTGAGGTTATTAATTTGGGGGGATTATCTTAGAAGCAAAGTGCTATTTACATCACATCATATCAAGGGTATATACTGTATCAACATGACATACTCTTGATGTTGGTCACCTGCTTAAGGTAGTGTTTGTCAGTTTCTCCACTGTAAAGTTACTCATCCCTCTGCTCTCCATTCCATACTATACTTTTTGGAAGAAAGTCACTGTGCACAGCCCACACTTCAGGAGTGGGAAGTTATACTCCATCTCCTTGAATGTACAGTATCTATATAAATTATTTGAAATTCTCCTGCTCAGGAGATTTCTTCCTCCTCCTCTATTTATTTACTTATTCAATCACGTATTTGTATCAATCGGGACTCATATATATTTATTTTTTACCTTGTGTGATAATCCAATACAACTTTATTTTGTTGCTCAAGGTATTCCAGCTTTGGGAACCATTTATGTTCCCTTTGATATACCTGCTTCTTTGTGTGTATGGTTGTTTTTTGTTTGCTTGCTTGTTTTTTGGTTTTATTGTTTTGTTTAGCACTTCTTTAGAACCTCTGCCTCCCGGGTTCAGGCAATTCTCCTGTGTCAGCCTCCCGAGTAGTTGGGATTACAGGCACATGCTACCACGCCTGACTAATTTTTGTATTTTTAGTAGAGATGGGGTTTCACCATGTTGGCCAGGTTGGTCTCAAACTCCTGACCTCAGGTGATCCGCCCACCTCGGCCTCCCAAATTGCTGGAATTATAGGGGTGAGCCACTGTGCCCAACTAGGTCTTACACTTTTGAAAAGAGAAAAGGGAAAAAAGGAAGGAAAGGTGGATGTTAGGAGGAGCCTCGTACTGTGATAAAACTCCAGGAAGGTCTCAACAAGGACATTGAGGAGACCCATAGCAATTATTGCCCATTAGAGGAGATCCATATAGGGCAGAAATGGCCTGGCTCTGGGGTCCCCACTGTGCCTAGTCATCGGCTGAGAGCACTCGGAGTGTGGCTTTGGTATAAACACTATGGCAGTCTCAAGGTGCAGGAGTTGGTGGCTGTACAGAAAGGTAAGAGCCAACTATTTCCATGTCCATCACAATTCTCTATCATTCTATTGTCTGTTATATACTGAATGTGTCCCCCAAAATTCATATGTTGAAGCTCCAACTCTCCAGTACCTCAGAATGCCACTATATTTAGAGACAGGTTCTTTAAAGAGAGATAGTTAAGTTAAAATTAGGTCATTAGAGTGGGTTCTAATTCAATCTGACTGGTGTCCTTATAAGAATAGAAGATTAGGACACAGACACACACAGAGGGAAGATCACAGAAGGACACAGGGAGCAGACGGCCATTTACAAACCAAGCAAAGAAGCCTCAGAAGAATGGACACCTTGATTGCAGACTTCTAGTCTCCAAAATTGTGAGAAAATAAATTTCTGTCGTTTAAGCCACCAGTCTGTGGTATTTTGAAGCCCTTTAGCAAATGAATATAAAGTTTCACATTTAAAAGTTTTTCATTAAAAAAATCCATCACAGAACTACTGCAGTATTTACAGGTAAATGCTATAATGTCTGGAATTTATTTGGACATACTCCAGCTGAGAAGAGAGAGGACAGATGATAAAGAATGGCAAAATAATTACTATGAAAACTGTGTTTGAATGCTTGAAAAATCATCATCATATTCTCTCTAGTGTATAATTGAAAGTTGACATAATAAATAGTTTAAAATTGTAACCAACTCATTATTATTAATTACTGGTAAGTCTACTGGGCATAGCTTGTCAGGATCTGTGTGGATTTTTGAAATGTTAAATTTAGAAAACCACAATAATAACAGCTAGCCACTGAAAGTCAGGAGTTCTACAACACACTTTATGTAGCTATTTTATTGGTTGTGATAACCAGGCCAATAAGTTAACTATTTACACATTAAATAGCTTAGTTTGGACTTTCACAATAGCCTACTTGCTTCAAAATCCAGTGTTATTCCATTATAGTTTTCTGTCATGCCCCTGCCTCCCATATTAATAACTACTTTTATTGAATATTTGCTATTTGTCAAACATTATTTTAGATGTCATATACCATGAGGGGATGTCAAGTTAAAAAAAACACTACTTTTTTTTGCATCTATTAATATGGTAGTACGGTTGTTCTAATTTATTCTGTTAATGTGGTAAAATGTACTAATTGATTCTTAATAGCTTTATTTGGGTATAATTGACCTATAATTAGCTGCACATATTTAAAATTCACAATTTATTAGATTTTAATATACGTATGCACCTGTGAAACAATCGCAATAATCAAGATAATTACTATTTCTATAACCCCTAAAAGTTTCCTCATGCCCCTTTGAAATTCCTCCTTCCTGCCCTCTTCCCATCTCCACACCCACTCATCTGTTTTATGTCCTGGTAAATTAGTTCACATTTTTTTAGAACAATGATCAGCCAACAATGGCCTGTTGGTCCAATCTAGCTCAACCACCTGTTTCTGTAAATGAAATTTTACTGGAACACAGCCACACTCATTTGTCTACCTATCATCTATGGTTGCTTTCACACTGCAACAGCAGAGTATAAATAAGACAGATGCCATGGCTTGCAGAGCCTAAAATATTTACTATCTTTCCCTTTACCAAAAATGTTTGCCAACCACCGTTCTGGAACTTGATGTGAAGGAAGCATACTGTAAGTACTCTTATTTTTGTATGGCTTCTTTCACTTTCTGAGATTATTTTGATATTCATCCACACTGTATGTATCAGTAGTTCATACTTTAAAATGCTCAGCAATATTCCATTGTAGGGATATACCCATATTTTATTATCATCCACCTGTTGATCAACATTGGGTTTTTTTCAGTTTTAGGTTATTCACATAAAACTTCTATAAGCATTTAAGTCAAGTCTTAATATGGATTAGTCCTTTCTTTCTCTGAGAAAAAAACAAACCCAAAACACAGAAATGGAATGCCTGAATCATACAGTAGACATATATTTAACCCCTTAAGAAACTGCCAAACTTTTCCAAATTGGTGGTATCATTTCATATTTCCAACAGCAGTATACTAGAGTTCCAGTTTCTTCATATCCTCCCTAGTAATTGGTATGGTAAGTCTTTTTAATTTTAGTTATTCTGATAGGTGTGCAATGGCTTAATTTGGGTTATCCCAATGACTAATGATGTTGACTATATTTTCATGGGATTATACATTTTCTCTGGCGTTGTATCTAAAAATTGTGCCACTTTTTGGTTTTATTATTACTGATGTTTGAAGGTTGTTTATATAATACAATCTAGACACAAATCCTTTATTAAGTATATAGTTTGTAACTATTTTCTCCTTATATGTGGCTTGTGTTTTCATTTTCCTAATAGTATTATTCAATGAGTAAAAGTTCTAGTTTTCATGAATTACAATTTATCTTTGTACTTTTATGGATTTTTCTTTTATATTTATATGATACAACTTTAGTTAATTTGGTGTACAGCATGAGACATGAAGTTTTTCTTTTTCTTGTTTGTAGATATTAAATTTTACTATCTCCATTTGTTGAAAAGATGATTTTTTTTCAATTGAATTGCTTTTTCACCTTTGTTAAGTCAATATTTTCATATATGTTTGGGTCTATTTTTGGTGTTTCTTTATTCAATTGATCTATTTGTCTATCTTTGTACTAAAACCATATTGTCTTCTGTAGCTTTATAATAAGTCTTCAATTCAGGCAGTGTTTAATCCTCCAACTTTTTTCTTTTACAAAGTTACTTTGGCTCTTCTAGGTCTGTGGCATTTCCATATGATTTTCAGAATTAGCTTGTGAATTTGTACAAAAATACTGTGGGATTTTTGTTGGGATTTTTGTTAAATCTATAGATGTTTGGAGGGAATTGAGTCTCAATAATACCAGGTTTTCTAATTCATACACAACATATATCTGTCAAATTATTTTTCTTTAATTTCTCTCAACAATATTTTGTAGTTTTTAGCATACAGGCCTTGCACATGGGAAAGAAAAATCTTGGGCCCCCAAATTACTAAGCTAAAGGGAAAAGTCAAGCTGGGAACTGCTCAGGGCAAAACCTGCCTTCCATTCCATTCAAAGTCATCCCTCTGGGGTGACTTTGGGTTTATGTTATCAGGATTTCCTGAGGCTGTGTCATGGGCATGCAACCTTAACCTTGGCAAAATAAACTTTCTAAATTAACTGAGACCTGTCTCAAATTTTCAGAGTTCACACACATCTTTTGTCATATTTACTTTCAAATATTTCAATTTTAAAATTAATGTTGTTATAATTTCAATTTCCAATTATACTAGTTTATAGAAATACAATTTTTTTTATATTAATCTTGCATCTTTTATCTGACTAAACTTATTTGGTTTCGGTTTTCATTTTTGTTTTTATAGATAGTATTGGGTTTTCTACATGACAACACTTTACCTGTAGCTAAAGACAGTTTTCAATTCTGGATGTTTTATTTGTTTCACTTGTCTATTTCACTGGCTAGACTGTTCAGTCAATGTCGAATAGAAGAGGTGGGAACAGATGTTCTTGTTTTGTTTTTGATCTTAGGGACAAAGAATTCAGGTTTTCATCAGTATGTTGTTAGCTATAGGTTCTCCGTTGATATCTTTTCTCAGGTTGAGGAAGTTTGATTTTATCTCTAGTTTACTGGAAGTTTTTAAAAATGAATGTTTTGAAATCCATTTTCTCAGTTTATTGAGATGATCATGTGGTTTTTGTCCTTTATTCTCTCATTAACTGATTTTTGGATGTTAAACCAACCTTAAGTTCCATTTTATAAGTTGTTGAACTCCATTTGCTAATGTTTTGTTGTGAGTTTTCATATCTATATTCATGAAGAATTTAGGTGCTTGGTTTTAATTTGTGCAACATGTTGTCTGGCTTTGGTGTCAGGGTAATCTCAACCTCGTAAAATACTTTGAGAATGATCTTTTTGATTTTGTGGAAGTGTTGGTGAAGGATTGGTGTTACTTCGTCTTTAAACATTTGATATAATACACCAGTGGAGATGTGGAACCTGATATTTTCGTTTTAAGAATATTGTGAATTATAATCCAAGTGCTTGTTACAGGCCTATTCAGATTTTCTCCTTCTTGAGTCACTTTTTAAAAGTTTGTGTTTTTCTACAAATTTTTATATTAAATATAAATTGTGAAATTTGTTAAAATAAAGTTGTTCCTAGTATTCACTTATAATCTTTTAAATTTTTGCAGGATTAGTGGTGATGTTCCTTCTTTCATTTCTAATTTGGTAATTTGCATCTTCCATGGTATTGTTTCATTTAAGTTAGTTCAGTACTTCTCAGTCTTCTTTGACCCTTGAATGAGGCTTTTGAACGTATTTTTCCTCCAGTTGTCACCCCCTACTGCATGCATTTTTAACACGACAGTTATAGTGTGCATTGTTTATGTACTGTGGTCTTTAGAAAACCATGGAACATTGTAGTAACTAACTTTTTTTTTGTCCTTCAAGAAACAGCTTTTGAGAATGCATAAAGATGTATCAAATTTGTTTATCTTTACAAAGGACTTTTGTTTTTATTGTTTTTTTCTATTTTTTTGTTTTCTATTTTGTAAATTTCTGTTTTAATCTTTCTTATTTAACACCTTCTGCTTATTTGGTTTAGGTTCCTATATTTATTTAGGTTCCTATATTTCGGTTACTGCCTGCTGTCATTTCCTTTAGTATTTCCTATGAAGCTGCTTTGCTAGCAACAAATACTCCCAGTCTTTTTTTATGTAGGGATGTCTTTATTTCACCTTCATTTCTGAAGCATAGTTTTTTAGGTTATAGCATTGTTGGTTGACAAGATTTTTTTTCCCTCTAGCACTTTAAATACATCATTCCATGACTACCAGGCCTCCACTCTGTCCGCTGGGAAGTCAGCTGTTAATCTTGTTGTTCTTCTCTCTGTTTATACATGACAAATAGTTTTTCTCTTGCTGTTTTCGAGTTTTTTTCTGGTGACACAGTGTAACTATAGTATTAGTTGTTTAGTGCTGCTATAACAAACTGGGTGGCTTAAAATAACAGTAATTTATTGCCTCATAGGACTGGAGGCCAAAGGTCTGAAACCAAGGTGTCATCTTGAAAGCTCTAGGAGGCTCCTTCATTGCTTCTTCCAAGTTTCTTGTGGCTGCTGGCAGCCCTTGGAATTCCTTGACTTGAAGCTTTATCTCTGTGTCCATCACATGGTCTGTTTTTCTGTGTCCAAATTTCTCTCATAAAGACATCAGTCATTGGATTAGGGCTGACCCTAATTCATTATGGTCTCACTTTAACTTGATGATCTTAAAAGATCCTATTTCCAATTAAAGTCATATTTAGTAGTATAAGGGGTTAGGCCTTTAACATACTTTTGGGGACACAAATTCAAGTTCAACCCACAACTACGATAGGTATGGCTCTCTCTTTTTTTTTTTTTTTTTGAGATGGAGTCTCGCTCTGTCCCCAGGCTGGAGTGCAGTGGTGTGATCTCGACTCACTGCAAGCTCCACCTCCTGGGTTCACGCCATTCTCCTGCCTCAGCCTCCTGAGTAGCTGGGACTACAGGCAACTGCCACCATGCCCAGCTAATTTTTTTTGTATTTTTAGTAGAGACAGGGTTTCACCGTGTTAGCCAGGATG
This sequence comes from Homo sapiens, assembly GCF_000001405.40. Classification (NCBI taxonomy): domain Eukaryota; kingdom Metazoa; phylum Chordata; class Mammalia; order Primates; family Hominidae; genus Homo; species Homo sapiens. The sequence continues at coordinate 150,349 of NW_012132921.1, forward strand.
GTCTCGATATCCTGACCTCATAATCTGCCCACCTTGGCCTCCCGAAGTACTGGGATTACAGGCGTGAGCCACTGCGTCCGGCTGGTATGGATCTCTTTTGTGTTTATTCTACTTGAGAATTTGTTAAACTTTGGGATGTGTATATTAATGTTTTAAATAAGATTTAGGAAGTTTTTGGCCATTATTTCTCGAAATATTTTTTCTTTCCCTTTCTCTATTCTTCTTCTGCTACTCCCATTATGCATATGTTGGCATGATTTATTGTGTCACGCAGGTGTCTGAGGCTCTGTTTTTCTTTTTTTTTCTTTTGCTCTTCAGAGACATAATTTCTAATGGTATCTCTTCAAGTTCACCGATTCTTTCTTCTGACAGTTTAAATTTGCTGTTGATACACTTTAATAATTTCTTAAAAATTACATTTGTTGCAATATACAACTTCAGAGTTTCCATTTCATTCTTTGTTAAACCATTTCTCTCTCTCTCTCTCTCTCTCTCTCTTTTTTTTTTTAATAAATGCAGTCTCACTGTGTCACCCAGGCTGGAGTGCAGTAGTGTGATCTCTGCTCACTGCAACCTCCACCTCCTGGGCTCAAGCAATTCTCTGGCCTCAGCCTCCCGAGTGGCTGGGATTACAGGCATGTGTCACCATGCCTGGCTAATTTTTGTATTTTTAGTACAGATGGGGTTTCACCATGTTGGCCAGACTGGTTTCAAACTCTTGACCTCAAATGATCTGCCCACCTCGGCCTCCCAAAGTGCTGGGATTACAGGCTAAACCATTTCTCCTTATTGATGTTCTGTATTTACTGAATTATTTAACTACACTTTCATTCTTTAAAACATGATTTCCTTTTATTCTTTGTACATTTTTATAAGAGTTTCTTTGCAGCCTTTGTCTGATTGCAACCTTTGTGTTCTGTGTTCCCTCAGAGTGTTTGTGTGGATTGATACTTTCTGGAGTGTGGCTCACATTTTTCTCTCTGTTTGCATTACCATGTAATTTTCTTTTGAAAATTGGACAAGTTAGGTAACATATCATATCTCTGGATTCTTACTGCCCCATTCCACCCAATGACTTTTTGTTTTAGTTGTTGTTGTTGTTTTGTCACCTGTTTGGTGACTTTCCTGGACTAGGTATTGCAGAGCTTTACACTTCCATTCCAGAAGTCCTGCCTCCTTGATGCCCACTTTTAAGAGGTGTTATTATTGGCCCTTTAACTCTCTCTTCTCACAGACTCTCACCATCCAAGATCTGTCAGCTATAACTTTAATTTTTCTTTGACGAAGTTAAAAAAACTTAAATTTTGTAATGTGACCTTCTTTCAGTCTTCTGTATTACGTTTGTAAATTATTTTATTCATTTAAAACATTTATTTTGTATTTACTATTTTTCTGATTTTTCTGTCAATGTGAAGGATTCTGAGTTGGGGGGAAAACACCAAATATACTGGGCCTTTGCTGCCCTGAAATTCGTATTTTGTGTTTATGAGCTTAAAATACATATATAGTAAGTAGATTAAATCATATGTGAAAATTATCAATATATTTAGGTAAACAAAACAGCACATTAAAAGAATAACTATGGGGGTGGGAGGGAACTGTTTTTAATAGAATAAAATATTTTTGAAAGGTGATTATAGGGTTGCAGTCTAAAGGTTGAGAAGGAGCCTAATGTGATAATCTGGAAGAAGTGCGTTTCAGGAAGAGAACCCCAGTGACAAATGTTTTTAAGATACGTAGTAATGGCATGTAAAATGATAGACTTGAAACTGAGGTGAGGTGAAGGTTGATAAGCATGGGCATAGGTTAGAAAATTAGGTCAGGAATACTTTTTTTTTTTTTTTTCGAGATGGAGTCTCACTTTGTCACCCAGGCTGGAGTGCAATGGTGCAATTTTGGCTTACTGCAACTTCTGCCGCCCGGGTTCAAATGATTCTCCTGCCTCTGCCTCCTAAGTAGGTGGGATTACAGGCGCTCGCCACCACACCTGGCTAATTTTTGTATTTTTAGTAGAGATGGGGTTTCACCTGTGTTGGTCACGCTGGTCTAATCTCCTTACCTCGTGATCCGCCCGCCTCAGCCTCCCAAAGTGCTGGGATTACAGGCGTGAGCCACTGCGCCTGGCCCTGAGATTACATTTTTATCTTTGAAGTTGCAATAGCAGAATTTTAATTCCACTTAATGGAGAAAGTTCCTAACTTTCAAGTAGATTCTCCTTGTTTATATCCTACCAGTTAGTTGAAGGTTTTTAATATTCCAGTTTCAAACTAGATATTTAAACTATTGTAATGAGAAAATAACTCAGACTTATAATTTTAATACTTTAGCTTGGATTGGCTAATACTTTTAGTTCTCTATACTGTACTAGATGTTTCATGACGAAGAGATGGGTTGACACAAACACTGAGCTTTGGTTTTTCTCTCTCCTGCTGATTGAGGTTAGGGAACCTTAACATGAGAAAATAGGTTTTCAGATGATAAGTGTATTAGGGACCTTGACACTGAAGCCTGGTTAAAAGTTAGAGTTCAATATCCTTATTTTTCAAAACTGGGTTTTATCACAGCTAAACACCAGCCACGGGACTTACAAATTGTATGGCTATGACAGCATATGACAGCTGCAGCAAATTACAGAGCCTCATCCTGACCTTAGTTTTTTAATAAACATTACCATAAAAAGAAGAAAACATCTTTCTTTCAGATAGGAAAAATAGATATCTAAGCAACAGTGCAGATCATGAGTTATTGTTTTAGGCTGGACATTAACAGGAGCAGAAACAAATAATGACATCTGCCAGGAGAATATTCTAAAACCTTGTACAATGTCTTCCATAGCCAGGGAAGAGAAGGAGAACATGAACTTCTCCAAATACAAAGAAATTTTCTTATACATTTGACGCCTCAAGAAGCCTTCTGATTTTGACAAATACATGACACATTATAATTAGGTATCACAATGTTTGGATATTCATGGAAGCAGAGTAACTTATTCCTCCTACAAAATGAATGCGTTCTTCAAAGGATGAATATACACAGTTTTAATATGTATCACAGCAGAGAACTGAAATAAGTACTTATATTAGGTGAAAATGATGAAACCTGAAACATGTGAAATATAAAAAGAATCCTCAGGAAAATAAATGCATATTTAAAAACAAATGAAGACATTATGAAGTGTACTATTTAAGTCTGTATTTTCTGCCAATTTCACCTTCTTGTTTGTGCAGCATATTATCAGCAATACCTTTTTCCTCTTATTTAAAATGAACTAAATGCCCACTCAAACAATACTAACACATAAAGATATGCATTTCCTTATATATGCGTGCACAAATATGCTTTGAACATTAAAGAAGTAAAAGATATTCAGATAAATAAAGTATGACAGGAACTATTTCAGAGCCTTTTACAGTGTTGCTAACAGAGAAATACCTTATTTCCCAATGAAGAAATGGCTTTTAGGTTTATAAACAACCACAACAGTATTGCCAAATCTAAAATAATTAACAATTCCATAATATCATAAAATATGCAGTAAATATCCCAAATCTCCAAATGTATCCTTTGTTTCCTTTTAAATAAACTTTATTTTTTAGAGCAGTTTTAGGTTCACTGCAAAGTTAAGCAGAAACTACTGGAAGTACCTATGTAACCCCTGCCTCTACACTGCACAGCCTCCTTCACTATCAACATCTTGCAACAACAGAGTGGTACATTTTTTACAACCGATGAACTTACTGTAAGTCCATAATGATCACATTAAGTCCATAGTTCACATTAGGGTTTACTTTTGGTGTTGTACATTCTGTGAGTTTTGACAAATACATAATGACCTGTATCTACCATTATAGTGTCATAGAGAATAGTTTCACTGACCTAAAAATCTTCTGGGTTCTGCCTATTCATCCCTCCCTCCTTCCAACCCCTGTCAACCATTGATCTTTTATTGTTTCCATAGTTTTGCCATTTCCAGAATGTTATACAGTTGAAATCATATGGTATGTAGCCTTTTCAAATTGGTTTCCTTCATTTAGTAATATGCATTTAAGGTTCCTCCATGTCTTTTCATGTTTTAATAGTTCATTTCTTTTTAGTGCTGAATAATATTTCATTGTCTAGATGTACCATAGTTTTATTTATTCATTCACCCACTGAAGACCATCCTTGTTGCTTCCAGGTTTTTGCAGTTATGAATAAAGCACCTATAGACATCCATGTGCAGGATTTGTGTGTACAAAAGTTTTCAACTTTGAGTAAAAACTAAGCAGTGCAGTTGCCGGATCATATAGTAAGAGTACATTTAGTTTTGCAAGAGACTACCAAACTGTCTTCCAAAGTGGCTGTATCATTTTGCATTCCTACCAGCAGTGTGTGAGAATTCCTGTTCTGCATCCTGGCCAGCATTTGATGTTGTCAGGGTTCTGGATTTTGGCCATTCTAATAGGCGTGTAGAGATAGCTCACTGCGGTTTTAATTTGCATTCTTCTAATGACATATGATGTGGAACATCTTTTCACATGTTTATTTGCTATTGGTATATCTTTGTTGGTATGGTGTCTGTTCAGGTCTTTTGTCTATTTTTTTATTGTGTGGGTCCTTTTCTTATTGTTGAGTTTTAATAATTCTTTGTATATATTGACTAACAGTTCTTTATCAGATAAGTCTTTTGCAAATATTTTCTCCTAGCCTATGGCTTGTCTTTTCATTCTCTTGATATCATCTTTTGTAGAATACAAGTTTTTAATTTTAATAGAGTTCAGCGTATCAGTTTTTCAGTTTTTTTTTTTTTCATGGATTTTGCCTTTTGTGTTGTATTTAAGAAGTCATTGCCATACCCAAGGTCATCTATACTTTTTCCTATGTTATTTTTAGGAATTTTATACTTTGGTAGTTTTACATTTAGGGCTATGATCCATTTTGAGTTAAGTTTTGTGAAGAGTGTAGTCTGAGTCTACATTCATTATTTTGCATGTGGATTTCCAGTCACTCTAGGACCATTTGTTGAAAGACTATCTTTTCTCTGTTGTAGTGCCTTTATTCTTTTGTCAAAGACCAGTTAACTGTATTTATTTGGGCCTATTTCTGGGCTGTCTATTCTGCTCCATTGATCTGTTTGTGTTTTCTTTTACCAATGTCCCACTGTCTTGATTACAGTACCTTTATAGTAAGTCTTGAAGTCAGGTAGTGTCAGTCCTCTAATTTTGTTCTTCTTAAATACTGTGTTGGCTATACTGGGTCTTTTGCCTTTCCATATAAACTTTAGATTCAGTTTGCTGGTACCCACACACACAAATGCTGGAATTATGATTGGGCTAAGTGTGTCATTTTAAAGCTGTCTGCATTGAGAGCTAAATAAGGTTCAAGTATTGCAAATTGTTTAAATATCTTTAAGCCTCTTTTAATCTATAAAATCTGTCTCCATGTTTCTTTTCTGTGCAATTTGCTTATGGAAAGAGACTGTCATTTATCCTGTAGAATTTTTCATAGTCTTGATTTTGAGTAGTGCCTTTTTCTGGTGATATTTAATATGTTTCCATGTTGTCTGCATTTCTTATAAATTGGAAATTAAATCTACAGGTGTGATCTGATTTCAGTTAGTAAATTTGGGGCATTACTTCATAGATGGCTGCCTAAGTCTGTTTTGTGTTGCTATAAAAGAATACCTGAGACTGGGTCATTTACAAACAAAAGAGGTTTATTTAGTTCCTGGTTTTGCAGGCTGAGAAGTTTAAGGGCATGTCCCTGGCTCCTGGTGAGGGTTTTTGTGCTACATTACAACATGGCAGAGAATGTCAAGGTGAAAGCAGACACACACAAAGAGGGGAAAACCTGAGAGGCATCCTGGCTTTATAACAACCCACTCTTTCAGGAACTAATCCATTCTCCTGAGAATTCACTCACTCCTGCAATAACACCACCACATCATGTAAGAGGGATCTGTGCTTACAACCCAAACACCTCCCACTAGGCCCTACTTCACAACACTGCCACATTGGGGATCAAATTTCAACATGAGTTTTGGTGGAGACAAACAAGCCATATCCAAATCATAGCAATGGCCTTGTGTACTTCTATTAGAAGGTACTCAGTATCCATCTTTCTCTTGGATGTTAGCAGCTATATACAAAACAGTGATATTCTGATTCTGTTATTCCTTCTTCAATTATTAACTAGAATATTTCTTTAAAAAGAGATCCTCTCTTGTCAGCTACAGTAACCAAAACAGCATGGTACTGGTACCAAAACAGAGATATAGACCAATGGAACAGAACAGAGGCCTCAGAAATAACACTACACATCTACCTCCATCTGATCTTTGACAAACCTGACAAAAACAAGCAATGGGGAAAGAATTCCTTGTTTAATAAGTGGTGTTGGGAAAACCGGCTAGCCATATGCAGAAAACTGAAACTGGACCCCTTCCTTACACCTTATACAAAAATTAACTCAAGATGGATTAAAGACTTAAACGTAAGACCTAAAACCGTAAAAACCCTAGAAGAAAACCTAGGCAATACCATTCACGACATAGGCACGGGCAAAGACTTCATGACACCAAAAGCAATGGCAACAAAAACCAAAATTGACAAATGGGATCTAATTAAACTAAAGAGCTTCTGCACAGCAAAAGAAACTACCATCAGAGTGAACAGACAACCTACAGAATGGGAGAAAATTTTTGCAATCTACCCATCTGACAAAGGGCTAATATCCAGAATCTACAAAGAACTTAAACAAATTTACAAGAAAAAAACCAAACAACCCCATCAAAAAGTGGGTGAAGGATATGAACAGACAGTTCTCAAAAGAAGACATTTATGCAGCCAACAAACATATGTAAAAAAGCTCTTGTCAACTATTTGGTTGCTCAAACATGTGTCTTATATAGAAAAACTTGATTTTTATTTTTACTATCATAAGAAAGAGTTGGTTCCTTGGCATCCTTCAAAGGGCCAGTTTCTTAAGAGATAGTTGATCCATCACTAATCATGGAAATATCTTCGACTTCATTAGTGGGTATTATAAATAACTTTTGGCAACAAATTTTAGAATTCAAGTGAAGTGAATGTTCTAAAATTTTCCTAGAAAAATAAAATTTATAAAGCTAAAACAAGAACAAAAAGGAAATACAAACGTCCTGTAATTGTTAGAGAAATTAAAACTCTAAGTAAAATCTTTGACCAAAAAAAAAAAAAAAGAAATCTTCATTCTGATGGATGCAGTGGCTCACGCCTGTAATCTCAACACTTTGGGAAGCCAAGGTGGCGGGGATTGTTTGAGCCCAGGAGTTTGAGACCAGCCCTGGCAACATAGCAATATCCTTTCTCTACAAAAAATAAAATAATTATTCAGGTGTGGTGGTGTGCACCTGTAGTCCCAGCTGCTTGGGAGGCCGAGGTGGGAAGATCATTTGAGCCCAGTAAGCTGAGGCTGCAGTGAGCCTTGTTTGTACCACTGCACTCCAGCATGGGTGACACAACAAGACCCTGTCTCAAAAACAGCAAAACAAAACTTTATTCCCATATAGTTTTTCCAGTGAGCTTTTACAGGCATTTTAATGTAGAAATATTGCAATTCCTATGCCAATTATTCCATTAAAGAGAAAAAGAGAAAATACTCCTAATTAATTTATGAGTTTAGTATATCCTTGATACCCAAATCTGACAAGAACATTACAAGAAGGCAAATTACAGACCAATATATTCATGACAATAAATGTAAAATTCTAAATAAAATATTTGTAAATCAAATAAATCAAATCCATCAAATACATACATCAAATAAATCCTATGTGTGTGTGTGTGTGTGTGTGTGTGTGTGTGTGTATCACGATATTTAACATATCATGAAAAAGTGAGGTTCATTCTAGGAATGCAAAGTTGATTTAGCATTCTTAAATCAATAAATACAATTCAAACATTAACAGGATAAATTAGAAATGTCAAATTTTTACTTCAATGGATGAATAAAAATCATTTGATAGTTCCCTAGTCTTTTATGTTTAGAACATTTAGCATACTATCAATAGAAGGAAACTTCCTTAATAAGATAGAATCTACAAAATTCTAAATAACCATTAATGTTCAAACACTGAATGCTTTTATTCTGAGAAAGAGAATAAAACAAGAAGGTCTGTTCTCATTACTCATTACTTCTATTCAATGTGGTACTGGAGGGCTGAACTAATTCAATAATGCAGAAAATAAAGTGAACAGAATCAGGACAATGAGGAGAAAAACTGTCATCACTCATTGTAAATACGAATGCATCCATAGATATTATTTTAAAAATCTAAGCATAGAAAATTAGAATACACTTGTATTTAATATATTAAAAATTAATGTAAAATAATTTTATTTGATATTTTACGAGCCTGTAAAGAAGGTAAATAAACACTTTTCTTACAGTCTTTGTATTCTTTTAATACATTTGGAAAATCTGTGGGTTTTTGTTCTCAACTCAGAATCACACATCAATATGTTCTCCCTGTATATCTCAAATGATTTTGTAATATTTCATTTAACAGATGCAGAAACAAAATTTACCCATTCCTTCTAAGGATTACAATTAGGTTTTATGCAGACTAGAAATGACCTGCCATAAACAGAGCTCAAAATGATGAAAGTTAGTGCAACGTGGTGCACGGATAAAAGAACAAATAACATTTGTCTATCTTCAAGAACAGTGCTTGCTTCTGAAATTAAACCCAGCAGGTAGGAAGATTCTAAACAGACTTCAAATTGTTGAACATCTGCTCACCCTAGCACAATCTAAAACAGCAAATGCGAAACACTTTACAATCCTAAAATTCATACAATCTAGTTGAAATTATTACACTATTAAATTTTTTGGGAGCCATTGCAAACAGACCTGGAAACATTTATAGTTTCAAGTCATAAAATACTATTAAACTGACCCGAGCAGCTCTTTCATTAGGTTAAAAATAGTTGAATATCTTTTCTTAATTTAGATGTATATAATTTCTTAAAGTTTCTCGAAATGTAAAACTAATAAACCTTAGGGTCAGCTATATTTAAGGGAGATGGAAATTTAGATTTCAGCTTTAAGATGAAGCTGCTTAATTTTCTTCTTTCATATCCTTGTGGTGCTATAACATGCCCTGGCTTGCTGTAGATAAAAGACAACCCAGTTAACTTTTGGGGTGACAAAAATACCTAAGAAATTATCCTACTTAATAATACAATAGTTATTGAAAAGAAGCTTTGGTACTTCTAGTCCTGATATCACAACTTGCAGCCATTGCAGAATTTGAATGTTCCCCTCTGTAGAAGGACCTTATCCATTCTGATTTGCCCAGGTTGCAGTTTATACTTCTGGAACCTGCAAACTACCTGGCTTAGAGACTCTAAAGCACATTGGGTGAGCACCTGCCACAGAGGGCTCAAGAGTTTCATATTTCACAGCTGATTTCATTGCCTCCGTTCATCTTCTATGCAGAAAAAAATCATAAGTCACACTTCAGCTCTCAGGTCAGTCATCTTCCTAGTCACAAACGAAACATGTTACTCATTGTATGACACTCTGCGAGACAAAAGTGTAATGATGAATGGATCAGTGGTTGCCAGAGTTTGAGGGGAGGAGCGTGTGACTCCAAAGGAACATGACAGAGATTTTTTCTGGGGTGATAGACTTGTCTGTAACCTGATCATCACGGTGGTTACATGAATCTATGCATGTGTTAACTTTCATAGACATGTACGCAAAGAATTCCATTTTACTATATGAAAATTTAAATAAAATAAAATAAATCATCCCGAAGGAAAATTCAGAGTGTCATTATTTGTAGAGAGAGTTTCTATGGCTGACCCCAGCTCCACTCCCACACAATCCAGTTAAGTAAAAAGTTTTCTAAGCAGAGGCTTTTGATGCTCCTATGTGTCTTAAACAGGGTTATTTAAAAGCGTGTTAAGGCAATTATCCCCTGTTGATGCCTAAGGAGAAGAAAAAAGCTGCTTTTTAAAAAGCTTTTAAACAACACTTAAAGCAATAAACAGCCTTTGAAAAAGCTATTTTTTTTTCATAAAACACCTTCTCCCCCCACCACAAGTGGTGCTTTTGTTGGTGCCTACAGAGATTGCAAGGGAAAGCAATACTGCCAAAAATTCTTTGCTTTAATGTAAAATTGATTTGAGATTGTCCTCCCCCCTCCCCTTTTTCTAATCATAGTAATGTGAAGATCGCATGTCTGTATTGCTATTCAGCGAGTATCAGAACAAAGAAAAGTCTTGCCCTTGATTGCACAGCAATATAGTAAAGGCAATTTAAGGATCATGTGACTACTTTTTGTTGCATTGTGTCTTTTATATTTGTTTGTTACCTCAAATTTTATTCAAGAGTTGAGAGTTATCAGATGATAGAAAAGTGGAGATAAGTTGAAGCAGAAATGTGATTCTATAATTTGTCCAAGAGAAGAATATCATAAGCTTATTAAATTCCAAGAGTTATGTCTCTGAATAATTAATTCATAAAAATATAATGTGTATGAGAATTTTTATGACCAAACTGTATGCGTGACTATAAAAACTTGAAGTAGAATCAACAAACAGAGTATCATGGAACTTGTATTAGGAATTCCAACAAATTTTTTTTGCCCTCAACCTTTCATCTTCATGGAGTCAAAAGAAAGTGATTAACTTTCTTGCTCATACGACAGCTAAATTGTAAAGAGTGGTATCTTTGTTTTTTTTTTCTTTATTTTATTATTATTATACTTTGAGTTTTAGGGTACATGTGCACAATGTGCAGGTTAGTTACATATGTATACATGTGCCATGCTGGTGTGGTATCTTTGTTTGCATGTAAATTTTTTCTGGTGAAACGAATATCTGAGTTTCCTTTAGCTGAAATAATCGATTTCCTAGCTAGAAACACAGATGCTTTCTTCTGACTTTGCTTTGAACTTGCTCCTTCAAGATGATTTGTTTCAGAACAAGTACAATGAACTGTGCAGAATTACACATGGTCCAAGCTCTTCTTGGCTTGTACCTTTCATGGGTGGGGATGTTAAGGTGCCATAGTCCAAATTTTTCAGTGCTTTTATTTACACTAAGTCCCCTTATAATATGAGTCTGAGAATTGAAAATTTAATGCAATGCAACTTAGCCTTAAGTCCAAATGAGAGTATCATCACTCTTTAATTCTGCTTCTGAATTTCCCTGGGCAGTTCATTAAAATATTTCTGTTAACACATTGAATAACCTGCCTCGGAATATTGCTTTCACATTTATTTAAAGTCATAATTGGGTTACTGCTTCTTCCCAATGCTGAATGCTTTTTGAAAATAAAATAATGACATATGCTGTTCCAAGAAAACATTTTCATACATACATACATACATATATATATATATATATATATATATATATATATATATATATATATACCTGTGTGATAATTTGTGACACGAACACATAATTGACATCTGTGAGACAAAAGGACCTGCTAGGTAAAGTTGAAACAAAAGGGATTTGAAAAAATACCTGACTTTTATTATAAGCATTGTGATTTTGCCTGAATTAATTAATGTATTTGAGGCATAATTTTCTCTCAATAAAATTAGATAATAATAACTCTCTCTTAAATTTGCTGTGAAGGTGAAATAAAAAGTGTCTACATTTTTAAAAGGTCTAGGATAGTTCCTGGCACATAATAAGCACCCAGTAAAAGTGACTTCCTTCTCCTTGTCTTTTGCTATCTGAAACCATATTTCTCTAACTTAAAATCCATAGAACCTTTCGTTTTGTGAGCTCTGCAGGAACACAACATATAACTAATGAAATCCGTGAGTTTTCACTGGAGAAGAATTTACAGTCCAGGAGTTGGGGTCCTGGAGTCTTAGGTGTACTTTTTTACCCACTGACTTATACCCTCTTGCCAACTCTTAGATGCCCTCTCCCATCTTCATCCCCACCATGACAGCTCTGAAAGCTCTGTCTTGGTTCTCTAGGATTCTATCCAAGAAACATGATTTTAAAACGCCAACACCAAAGTTGAGAAAGACTCCCTTCTTAGATTTAGTAACCACAAGTATTTATATACAATAATATTCACCACCAATGTATTGAACAAAATCGATTTGGTTAAAGTGGAAAATCATAAAAATTATCACTCCTATGAATTTTATGTTTAATGTTCACTCAACATGTGAATGCGCATTATTTCTTGGTACGTCTTTTGATATGAAACCAATTTTTTAAAAGGGCAATGTTTAATTGCAGTTCTTAGGAAAAATATGCTTATAACTCTGTCATCTAGGATAACTAGCTTGGCATTTTTTTTAAGTGTACAGTTCAGTAGCGTTAGGTGTATTCACATTATTGTGAAAGAGATCTCCAGAAATTTTTCATCTGGTAAATCTCAAGCTATATTCCCATTAAACAACAGTCCCCCTTTCCACCACTTCCCTCCATGGCTTTTTGTGTGTGTGTGAGTGTGTGTGTAAAGTACGATTAAAAAACCTGTGTAGCCATCTAGGAGCAAGGTTTTGTTTGTTTGTTTCTTTTTTGAGATGGGGTCTTGCTCTGTCATTCAGGCTGGAGTTCAGTGGCATAATCATAGCTCACTGCAGCTTTGAACTCCCGTGCTCAAGTGATCTTCCTGCCTCAGGCTCCAAAGTACCTGGGACTACAGGTGTGCACTGTTGTGCCCTGCTACTATTTATTTTTCAGGTTTTGTGGAGATGGAGTTTCACTATGTTACCCAGGCTGGTCTCAAAGTCCTGACCTCAAGTGATCCTCCTGCCTCTGCCTCCCAAAGTGCTGAGATTACAGGTGTGAGCACCTGCACCTGGCAAAATCTTTTTAATTATGTTCCTAAGCTTTTCCTGGACTCTCATTCATGTCTAATTCAAAAGCATGTTTAAATTATGTACCTTTCCAAAGCATTCAAATTAATTTTCTTAGAAGAAACAATTATTGTCTTTCCCTCATATTTATTATTTTTATTATAATTGAATTAAACTTCATAGACATATTAAGCACAATTAGCTTAAAACATAAGAAACAGCCTCACGCATTCTTAGTAAGCATGCACCTGATTGGAGAATCAGAGACAAGCGCTCTAACGAATGGTCTACAAGACATGAACATTCATGTTACAAACATTGACAAGTATGATTAGCAAAAAGAATAAAGTGCACTGATGAACAGGAGCAGTGGCTCATGCTCACTTACAAAGTGAGTAATCCCCTCACTTTGGGAGGCTGGGGTGGGTGGATAGCTTGAGGCCAGGAGTTTGAGACCAGCCTAGCCATTATAGCAAAACCCATCTACTAAAATTACAAAAAATTAGCTGGACATGGTGGCTCATGCCTGTAATCCCAACTACTCAGGGGGCTGAGGCAGGAGAATCACTTGAACGCTGATGGTGGAGGTTGCAGTGAGGCGAGATCACAACTAGAGAAGCCAAGTAAATATATTCATAGATAGCATGTGGCTGTAAGCAACATATCTTCCTTTCCTTAACTGAGATGCAAGAAGTGTCTATATATATTTTTTAAAAATTTTAGAATAAATTCCATTTACTCTCAGCCTAAAGTATTGGGAGAATGAGTATGTCAAATGGAAATGGAAGAAATTTTAAAAACCATGAAGCATTTTTCAGTTTAAGAGAGAAAAATAACATCTAATCAAGAATTACAAATCGTGGAAGTATTTAGACTTTTAGACAGAGATTTGGGGGTTTCTATAGTCTGAAGCCCAAATTGGCAGTTATGAAATGTTGCAGAGCTCTGTGATAGTGAAATTGACATAGAATTTATCAATTTACTGCTGGTAAGATAGAACAGCCCACCTCTTCACCTTGGAATGGTAATGAAAAATTCCCATCTCATTCTTTCATACCTGTATTCTTCACTCACAGTGGTTTGTAATGAGGTATAACTTGGCTGAAAATCTTTATCATCTTCTGATTTTGAGGGCCTGGGATCTGATCCGAGTCTTTGCCATATTGCCATTTTCTTTTCCATTTGCTTTCTAGCCTCTCTGTTTAATTCTTAGAATACTTTTTATCATAATCTGTCAAACTCCATCTTTAAAATGTGGAAGTCCAGGATAGACATTACAAATCTGGGCTTGTTTTTCTTCTATCAGTTTTTAGTCATGTCTGTCTGTTTTTTATTTTTATATATTTTTTATTTTTTAAATTATACTTTAAGTTTTAGGGTACATGTGCACAATGTGCAGGTTTGTTACGTATGTATACATGTGCCATGTTGGTGTGCTGCACCCATTAACTTGTCATTTAACATTAGGTATATCTCCTAATGCTATCCCTCCCCCCTCCCCCCACCCCACAACAGGCCCCGGTGTGTGATGTTCCCCTTCCGGTGTCCATGTTTTCTCATTGTTCAATTCCCACCTGTGAGTGAGAACATGCGGTGTTTGGTTTTTGTCTTTGCGATAGTTTGCTGAGAATGATGGTTTCCAGCTTCATCCATGTCCCTACAAAGGACATGAACTCATCCTTTTTTACAGCTGCATAGTATTCCATGGTGTATATGTGCCACATTTTCTTAATCCAGTCTATCATTGTTGGACATTTGGCTTGGTTCCAAGTCTTTGCTATTGCGAATAGTGCCGCAATAAACATACATGTGCATGTGTCTTTATAGCAGCATGATTTATAATCCTTTGGGTATATACCCAGTAATGGGATGGCTGGGTCAAATGGTATTTCTAGTTCTAGATCCCTGAGGAATCACCACACTGACTTCCACAATGGTTGAACTAGTTTACAGTCCCACCAACAGTGTAAAAGTGTTCCTATTTCTCCACATCCTCTCCAGCACCTGTTGTTTCCTGACTTTTGAATGATTCTAACTGGTGTGAGATGGTATCTCATTGTGGTTTTGATTTGCATTTCTCTGATGGCCAGTGATGATGAGCATTTTTTCATGTGTCTGTTGGCTACATAAATGTCTTCTTTTGAGAAGTGTCTGTTCATATCCTTCACCCACTTGTTGATGGGGTTGTTTTTTTCTTGTAAATGTGTTTGACTTCATTGTAGATTCTGGATATTAGCCCTTTGTCAGATGAGTAAATTGCAAAAATTTTCTCCCATTCTGTAGGTTGCCTATTCACTCCGATGGTAGTTTCTTTTGCTATGCAGAAGCT
Source organism: Homo sapiens (assembly GCF_000001405.40). Taxonomy (NCBI): domain Eukaryota; kingdom Metazoa; phylum Chordata; class Mammalia; order Primates; family Hominidae; genus Homo; species Homo sapiens. The sequence goes on from NW_012132921.1 coordinate 165,483, forward strand.
CTTTAGTTTAATTAGATCCCATTTGTCAATTTTGGCTTTTGTTGCCATTGCTTTTGGTGTTTGAGACATGAAGTCCTTGCCCATGCCTATGTCCTGAATGGTATTGCCCAGGTTTTCTTCCAGGGTTTCTATGGTTTTGGGTCTAACATTTAGGTCTTTAATCCATCTTGAATTAATTTTTGTATAAGGTGTAAGGAAGGGATCCAGTTTCAGCTTTCTACATATGGCTAGCCAGTTTTCCCAGCACCATTTGTTAAATAGGGAATCCTTTATCCATTTCTTGTTTTTGTCAGGTTTGTCAAAGATCAGATGGTTGTAGATATGCGGCATTATTTCTGAGGCCTCTGTTCTGTTCCATTGGTCTATATCTCTGTTTTGATATACTATAGCCTTGTAGTATAGTTTGAAGTCAGGTAGCATGATGCCTCCAGCTTTGTTCTTTTGGCTTAGGATTGACTTGGCAATGCGGGCTCTTTTTTGGTTCCATATGAACTTTAAAGTAGTTTTTTCCAATTCTGTGAAGAAAGGCATTGGTAGCTTGATGGGGATGGCATTGAATCTATAAATTACCTTGGGCAGTATGGCCATGTTCACGATATTGATTCTTCCTACCCATGAGCATGGAATGTTCTTCCGTTTGTTTGTATCCTCTTTTATTTCATTGAGCAGTGGTTTGTAGTTCTTCTTGAAGAGGTCCTTCACATCCCTTGTAAGTTGGATTCCTAGGTATTTTATTCTCTTTGAAGCAATTGTGAATGGCGGTTCACTCATGGTTTGGCTCTCTGTTTGTCTATTATTGGTGTATAAGAATGCTTGTGATTTTTGCACATTGATTTTGTATCCTGAGACTTTGCTGAAGTTGCCTATCAACTTAAGGAGATTTTGGGCTGAGATGATGGGGTTTTCTAGATATACAATCATGTCATCTGCAAACAGGGACAATTTGACTTCCTCTTTTCCTAATTGAATACCCTTTATTTCCTTCTCCTGCCTGATTGCCCTGGCCAGTACTTCTAACACTATGTTGAATAGGAGTGGTGAGAGAGGACATCCCTGTCTTGTGCCAGTTTTCAAAGGGAATGCTTCCAGTTTTTGCCCACGCAGTATGATATTGGCTGTGGGTTTGTCATAGATAGCTCTTATTATTTTGAGATATGTCCTATCAGTACCTAATTTATTGAGAGTTTTTAGCATGAAGGGCTGTTGAATTTTGTCAAAGGCCTTTTCTGCATCTATTGAGGTAATCATATGGTTTTTGTCACTGGTTCTGTTTATATGCTGGATTACGTTTATTGATTTGCTTATGTTGAACCAGCCTTGCATCCCAGGGATGAAGCCCACTTGATCATGGTGGATAAGCTTTTTGATGTGCTGCTGGATTCAGTTTGCTAGTATTTTATTGAGGATTTTTGCACCGATGTTCATCAGGGATATTGGTCTAACATTCTCTTTTTTTGTTGTGTCTCTGCCAGGCTTTGGTATCAGGATGATGCTGGCCTCATAAAATGAGTTAGGGAGGATTCCCTCTTTTTCTATTGATTGGAATAGTTTCAGAAGGAATGGTACCAGCTCCTCCTTGTACCTCTGGTAGAATTCGGCTGTGAATCCATCTGGTCCCGGATTTTGTTTGGTTGGTAAGCTATTAATTATTGCCTCAATTTCAGAGCCTGTTATTGATCTATTCAGAGATTCAACTTCTTCCTGGTTTAGTCTTGGGAGGGTGTATGTGTCAAGGAATTTATCCATTTCTTCTAGATTTTCTAGTTTATTTGCATAGAGGTGTTTGTAGTATTCTCTGATGATAGTTTGTATTTCTGTGGGATTGGTGGTGATATCCCCTTTATCATTTTTTATTGCATCTGTTTGATTCTTCTCTCTTTTCTTCTTTATTAGTCTTGCTAGCAGTCTATCAATTTTGTTGATCTTTTCAAAAAACCAGGTCCTGGATTCATTGATTTTTTGAAGGGTTTTTTTGTGTCTCTATTTCCTTCAGTTCTGCTCTGATCTTAGTTATTTCTTGCCTTCTGCTAGCTTTTGAATGTGTTTGCCCTTGCTTCTCTAGTTCCTTTAATTGTGACGTTAGGGTGTCAATTTTAGATCTTTCCTGCTTTCTCCTGTGGGCATTTAGTGCTATAAATTTCCCTCTACACACTGCTTTGAATGTGTCCCAGGGATTCTGGTATGTTGTGTCTTTGTTCTCGTTGGTTTCAAAGAACATCTTTATTTCTGCCTTCATTTCGTTATGTACCCAGTAGTCATTCAGGACCAGGTGGTTCAGTTTCCACGTAGTTGAGCAGTTTTGAGTGAGTTTCTTAATCCTGAGTTCTAGTTTGATTGCACTGTGGTCTGAGAGACAGTTTGTTATAATTTCTGTTCTTTTACATTTGCTGAGGAGTGCTTTACTTCCCAGTATGTGGTCAATTTTGGAATAGGTGTGGTGCTGAGAATGTATGTTCTGTTGATTTAGGGTGGAGAGTTCTGTAGATGTCTATTAGATGCGCTTGGTGCAGAGCTGAGATCAATTCCTGTATATCCTTGTTAACTTTCTGTCTCATTGATCTGTCTAATGTTGACAGTGGGTTGTTAAGTCTCCCATTATTATTGTGTGGGGGTCTAAGTCTCTTTGTAGGTCCCTAAGGACTTGCTTTATGAATCTGGGTGCTCCTGTATTGGGTGCATATATATTTAGGATAGTTAGCTCTTCTTGTTGAATTGATCCCTTTACCATTATGTAATGGCCTTCTTTGTCTTTTGATCTTTGTTGGTTTAAAGTCTGTTTTATCAGAGACTAGGATTGCAACCCCTGCCTTTTTTTGTTTTCCATTTGTTTGGTAGATCTTCCTCCATCCCTTTATTTTGAGCCTATGTGTGTTTCTGCAGGTGAGATGTGTTTCCTGAATACAGCACACTGATGGGTCTTGACTCTTTATCCAATTTGCCAGTGTGTGTCTTTTAATTGGAGCATTTAGCCCATTTACATTTAAGGTTATTGTTATGTGTGAATTTGATCCTCTCATTATGATGTTAGCTGTTTATTTTGCTCATTAGTTGATGCAGTTTCTTCCTAGCCTTGATGGTCTTTACAATTTGGCATGTTTTTGGAGTGGCTGGTACCGGTTGTTCCTTTCCATGTTTAGTGCTTCCTTCAGGAGCTCTCTTAGGGCAGGCCTGGTGGTGACAGAATCTCTCAGCATTTGCTTGTCTGTAAAGGATTTTATTTCTCCTTCACTTATGAAGCTTAGTTTGGCTGGATATGAAATTCTGGGTTGAAAATTCTTTTCTTTAAGAATGTTGAATATTGGTCCCCTCTCTCTTCTGGCTTGTAGAGTTTCTGTGGAGAGGTCAGCTGTTAGTCTGATGGGCTTCCCTTTGTGGGTAACCTGACCTTTCTCTCTGGCTGCCCTTAACATTCTTTCTTTGTAGCTTACAGTCTATGAAAGTATCTGACTTACGTTATTCAGTTCTAGTTTCTTTTCCTCCAAGTTCTTTTTTTTTTTTCCCTTGGAAGAGTTGAATTGCATATTCACTCGCATATGTGAGAAAATGGAGAATTCTAACTTTTATGTCATTCTTTCAGGTTATTCTTGAGGTGAGTTATATGGCCTTCAACCTGCTCATACAAAGTTATAGCACAGAAATAATGTCTATGAATTC